>NC_000014.9:74763228-74914743 GCF_000001405.40 Homo sapiens
TCGCCAAGTAAAGGACCGCTCTATCTCGCCTTTGTTCTCCTCTCGGTGGTTACTGCGCAGACGTAGTCGCCCAAGTCGCGTCCCCGCCTTCCCGGTCGCGGGCCCAGCTCGGGAGCGCCGGCGCACTGGCGCGCTCCGTTTACACGCTCCGGGGCCTGTAGGCGCCGCGAGTTCCGGCTGTCGCCGTCGCCGCCGCGGCTCCTGGAGGTCGGTTGCGACGAGTAACGGCGCCAGGACGAGCCCTGCGCCTTCTTTTTCGATATGTACCCGAATTGGGGCCGGTATGGCGGGAGCAGCCACTATCCGCCGCCACCGGTCCCACCGCCGCCGCCAGTGGCGCTTCCTGAGGCCTCGCCGGGGCCCGGGTACTCGAGCTCGACGACTCCCGCGGCCCCCTCCTCCTCGGGCTTCATGAGCTTCCGCGAACAGCACTTGGCGCAGCTCCAGCAGCTGCAGCAGATGCACCAGAAGCAAATGCAGTGCGTGCTTCAGCCCCACCACCTTCCTCCGCCCCCTCTGCCGCCCCCGCCAGTGATGCCGGGGGGCGGCTACGGAGACTGGCAGCCGCCACCGCCACCGATGCCCCCGCCACCCGGGCCGGCCCTCAGCTATCAGAAGCAGCAGCAGTACAAACACCAGATGCTCCACCACCAACGAGACGGGCCTCCTGGTTTGGTTCCAATGGAGCTGGAATCCCCCCCTGAATCTCCCCCTGTGCCGCCTGGGTCCTATATGCCCCCATCTCAGTCTTACATGCCCCCACCTCAGCCGCCACCCTCTTACTACCCCCCGACCTCATCTCAGCCCTACCTGCCTCCTGCTCAGCCGTCCCCTTCGCAGTCCCCACCTTCCCAATCCTACCTGGCGCCCACCCCTTCTTACTCATCCTCCTCCTCTTCCTCGCAATCCTATTTGAGCCATTCCCAGTCCTACTTGCCCTCTTCTCAGGCATCTCCTTCCCGCCCCTCCCAGGGCCATTCTAAATCCCAACTACTAGCTCCACCACCACCGTCCGCCCCCCCTGGAAATAAGACAACTGTCCAGCAAGAGCCTTTGGAGAGTGGGGCCAAAAACAAGAGTACTGAACAGCAGCAAGCCGCCCCTGAGCCAGATCCCTCTACGATGACTCCACAGGTAAGAAAGCATCTGCCTGAACCTCATCTTTCACCTAGAGGGCCCTGAATGAGCAGGCCTCAGGGCTTTAACCAGTGGTTAGTCTAATTCCAACACACAATGACTAGCTAACACTCCAAAGGATTCCGTAAGAGTCAGAGGGCTGACAGCTCAGCTTTTTAATTAGCTAGATGTGAATTACCAAAAAAACAGCGTTTGTAGATGTGTATGGATTACATACAGTGGTGGGGTGGCTCAAAAGTTACCTCTCAGATACATTCCTTGGTTTCTTTGACCATCCTCTTAGATTTTGTTGCTGTTGCAAATAGATTTTGTTGCAGAGGGTCTTGTTTTAAAATTGTATTTTAAACGAAAGTTTCCATTTGAGAGAAAGCATGAAAAAGAGGCCTCGCCAAGGGCTGACACTTGAATGTTTGTAAACTTTATGATTAGTTAGCTTCTTTTAAAAATATTACTTAGGGGCCAGGGATAGTTGTCAGCTTCCTGAATTAAGAGGTTTCAGAAAAAGGATGGAAATCTTGTCTTACCAGGAGCATCCTAATTATGCTTATAGGTACATATACAATACATAGATGAGTCCCGAGACCCTTTTGGGGATCGATTGGTCCATTTTAGGAATTGACCCAGACATCCTTTTCTCATATTATTTAAAGATTGTTTTAAGATAATGAGCAATTTTCTGCGTTTCATTGTCATTACCATTCACTCCAAAGAAACAGCCTTGCAATTTGGCCAACGTAAAAAAAGTTTGGTGATATCTTTTCATGAGAGAGTCAGCCATTCTTATCCCGCAGAACAGACAAATTGACAGGGTAACAGTAATAAACGAGTTCCCCCTTGAGAGAGGGAAGGTCAAACTAAAGCAGAATAAATCAATTGTTATGATTTCCTAAAGTAGACACTTTTTCAGCGATTACTAATTTACCTTAGATTCACTAAGGAAAAAAGAGAATCTTGTAATATAAACGCTCAGATTTACCTATAAAAGATTTCCAAAAGATAGGGATGCAGTATTATAATTTTACGGTGGTTTGGCATTAGAAATTAAGAACAGAAGCAAGTTGTTTTAAGAAATGATGCTTGGCACATCTTCTGGAGAAAACACTTGGGATGCTGAAATAAAGTAGTAGAATAATGATTCTGTTGGCTTACATCAAATTTGTACCATCTCACCAGTTTATTTTCCCCAGATTGCTCTATTATAGAGACAGACTTTCTGTCCTCTTTCCCACCCCACTCTGAAGTCTTTAGTGCTTTTGTTGTCAAACATTCTCAGTTAGTCTGAGCCAAAATAGGACATTTATATTCTCACTCTACTAGACTGTTTTTCTGACCTTACAGAGAGACAAAATAATTGTATTTTTGGCTTTTTTTGGGAGGAGTGTGTGTGTCAGATCAGGCCTTAATATGTATAGTTACCATGAACAGTGCTTTTACTTTTCTGCCTTTGTACCCTTTTCTGTAATGAACTCAGTGTCTTGAATATTCAGTGCCTGCAATTCTTTGGTGAGAGGCAGAGTGGTGGAAAATGAGACTTGTGGTGCACATAGACCAGATCAAGAAGAGCCTTGAAGCCTGTGGCTTTCTTTCTTCTTTTTAGAATTCATCCTAACCTCCTCAACCCTCTGTTTCCCCTTAGAGTTGTATTGCTTTCAAGGCATATCTCAAATATCAAGGTTTCCATGAAGCCCTGCTTGTGCTCACCCATCTGGTTTGGTTCTGTTCTTCAGATTGTAAGTCCCTTGCAGACAGGAATTATCTTACTTATCTTCTTATTACCGTAGCACCTAGGACAGTGCCTTGCAAATTGTAGGCTCTCCACAGATTTGTTGAATAAAATACGAGAGTTGTCATGTTCTAGACTTAGGATATGTTGGTTTATTAGATGATAAATATTTCTTCATGCCAGTACCAGTCTCTGGCAATCCTTCTACATATTTATTATTCTTTGATTCATATTTTGTTTTTGGAATGTGTCATTCAAAATTTCTTATCGTGAAATATTTTTAAAATACACAAAATAGAGAAAAAAGTATGATTCCCCATACATACCCATCATTGAGATTCAACAGCTATCAAGATTTTGCCATGTTTACTTCACCTAGGCCTTTTTTATTATTGTTGCATATATATATATTGAGACAGGGTCTTGCTCTGTCAGTCACCCAGGGTGGAGTGTAGTGGCATAGTCTCAGTTCACTGCAACCTCTGCCTCCCAGGCTCAAGCCATCCCAAGTAGCTGGGACTACAGGTGCATGCCACCATGCCTGGCTATTTTTTTTTTTTTTTTTTTTTGGTAGAGACGGGGTTTTGCTATGTTGCCCAGGCTGGTCTTGAACTCCTGAGCTCAAACAGTACACTGCCTTGACCTCTCAAAGTGCTGGGATTATGGGCATGAACCACCACACCTGGCCTCTGCTGAAATATTTTAAAGCAAATCTTAGATCTTATGTCATTTCATCCCTACATTCTTAGTCAAGTACCTCTATAAAACAAAACAAAACAAAACCAAGACCTTTTCTTTTTTTTTTTTTTTTTTGAGATGGAGTCTCACACTGTTGCCCAGGCTGGAGTGCAGTGGCGCGATCTTGGCTCATTGCAACCTCTGCCTCCCGGGTTCAAGCGATTCTCCTGCCTCAGCCTCCTGAGTAGCTGGGATTACAAGTGCATGCCACCACGCCTGGCTAATTTTTGTATTTTTAGTAGAGACGGGGTTTCACCATGTTGGTCAGGCTGGTCTTGAACTCCTGACCTCATGATCCAGCTGCCTTGGCCTCCCAAAGTGCTGGGATTACAGGCGTGAGCCACCGTGCCCGGCCAAGACCCTTTCTTAGATAAACACATTGTTAACACCTAACAAAGTTAACAGTTTCTTGGTATCATCTAATACCTGATCCGTTCAGATTTCCTTTATTGTTTCATCATACTAATGAACTAAAAATAATTCTTTGATACCATCCATGTTAAAATACCCCAAATTGACTCAACAGTGTTGTTGTTTTCTGTCCTCACAGTCTGTTCCCAAACAATGTTTTTTTGGTGTGTTCAAGTCAGAGTCCAAACAGAATACTGAAAAGATTCTTAGTATAGATCAGGGTTTCTCAGCTTCGGCACTATGGACATTTTGGGCAGGATGATTCTTTGTTGTGGAGGGGCTTGTCCTATGCATTGTAGGATGTTTAACAGCGTCCCTGACCTCTACCCATTAGATGCCAGTGGCAGCCCCCAGTCCGACAACCAAAAATGTTTCCACACATTGCCAAGTATCCCCTGGAGACAAAATTACCCTCTGTTGAGAACCCTTGACCTAGGTCAGTCCCTCCTATTTTCTTTTTCTACCTCATGTCTTTGAACTTGATGAAAAATCTGTTGTCAGTTTTCCTGTAGAATGTCTGACATTCTGCATTGTCTGCTTTTTCATGGTGTCACATTTGACTTGTTCCTATGTCTTCCACATTTTTTTTTTTTTTGAATTAGAAGTTAACTCTGGAACCTTCATTTAAGTTCAGCTTTCTTTTGGCAAGTGTTGCATTCCTCATGGGACACCCGATGCCTGGTTGTCCCACTGTTAGTAATGCCATTGGTCCCTCTACTGTAAAGCTTTCTATCAATCTTGCATCTAATGTTTCAGTCTACTGGTTCATCAATTGAAGAAAGACCTTGCCTAAGTAAATTATTTCATTAGACAGAGGTTGCAACCTGGTGATTTTTTTTTTCTGCCATTTCTTCCACAGTTACTATATGGAGTTATGTAAAGAAAAACTTTTGCCACAGATATTTGATTGGAAATACAGTTGGTATAGGAAGGACAAGATAAATACTTGATATTTTTCCAGGTGTTTTCTAGTTTTTCGGGTAAAGTGTTGATGATTTAATGGAATGTGTTTTTTTGTTTGTTTGTTTCTGAGAGAGAGTCTCACTCTGTCGCTCAGGCTGGAGTGCAGTGGTGAAATCTCGGCTCACTGCAACTTCCACTTCCTGGGTTCAAACAATTCTGCCCTAGCCTCCCAAGTATATGGGATTACAGGTGCATGCTACCATGCCTGGCTAGTTTTTGTATTTTTAATAGAGATGGGGTTTCACCATGTTGGTCAGGCTGGTCTCGAACTCCTGACCTCAAGTGATCCACCTGCTTCGGCCTCCCAAAGTGCTGGGATTATAGACGTGAGCCACTGCGCCCGGTCGGAATGTGTCTTTTTGAATAATTAATTTTTCTATGTGTTTAAAGGACTGATTTATTTAGTTAAAGCTGTTGGCTTTGATTAGTTTTTAGAGGTATCATTTATTTAATGTTTAAATACTTACGGACTAGCAACTATGTGCCAGGTACTATGAGTACTGTGCTTAATACTGGAGATGAAATGGTTAACAAGATAGACATGGGACCTGCCCTCATTGACTTCTTGTTTCAGTTGTGGGGGAAGGGAGAAGACATTTAGTAAGTAATTAAGAGGAGACGTACAGAGTGCTATGGGATTATAAAATATCACTAGATTATTCCCCAAGGAACTGGCAAAGGCAAGTTTTTTGTTTTTTGTTTTTTTTTTAAGTTACCACTGTATTCACAGTACCTTGCATAGGATCTAGCGCATAGGAGGTGGAGAACAAATATATTTTAAATAATTGAATATAGCTGGGAGCGCTAACCTAATTAAAGAGGATTCCCTTTGTAAAGTGATATTTTTTATTTTTTATTTGTTTTTATTTTATTTTATTTATTTTTATTTTTTTGAGATGGAGTCTCGCTCTGTTGCCCAGGCTGGAGTGCAGTGGCGCGATCTCGGCTCACTGCAACCTCCGCCTTCCGGGTTTAAGCAATTTTCTGCCTCAGCCTCCCTAGTAACTGGGATTACAGGTGCCTGCCACCACGCCCGGCTAATTTTTTTGTATTTTTATCTTTTTTTTTTTTTTTTTTTTTTTTTTTTTGGAGACGAAGTCTCACTCTTGTTGCCCAGGCTGGGGTGCAATGGCACGATCTCGGCTCACTGCAACCTCTGCCTCCCGGGTTCAAACAATTCTCCTGCCTCAGCCTGCCTCAGCTACTCCCAGGAGTAGCTGGGATTACAGGCGCCTGCCACCACGCTTGGCTAATTTTTGTATTTTTAGTAGAGACGAGGTTTCACCATGTTGGCTAGGCTGGTCTCGAACTCCTGACCCCAGGTGATCTGCCTGTCTCAGCCTCCCAAAGTGCTGGGGTTACAGGTGTGAGTCAGAGTGCCCGGCCATTTTTTTTTGTATTTTTAGTACAGAAGAGGTTTCACCATCTTGGCCAGGCTGGTCTTGAACTCCTGACCTCGTGATCCACCTGCTACGGCCTCCCAAAGTGCTGGGATTACAGGCGTAAGCTGCCACGCCGGGCCTGTAAAGTGATATTTAAATGAACTCTAAAGAATAAGTAGGAGGACTGGGTGCTCACACCTGTAATCCCAGTTCTTTGGGCTCATTAGAGGCCGGGAGTTCAAGGCCAGCCTGGGCAACAAAGTGAGACACCCCCCCCCCCGCCCCCCGCCCACAAAAAGTTTAAAAAACTAGCCAGGTGGCCGGGCGCAGTGGCTCACGCCTGTAATCCCAGCACTTTGGGAGGCCTAGGCGGGCAGATCACGAGGTCAGAAGATCAAGACCATCCTGGCTAACATGGTGAAACCCCATCTCTACTAAAAATACAAAAAATTAGCCGGGCGTGGTGGTGGGCGCCTGTAGTCCCAACTTCTCAGGAAGCTGAGGCAGGAGAATGGTGTGAACCCGGGAGGCGGAGCTTGCAGTGAGCCGAGATCGCGCCACTGCACTCCAGCCTGGGCGACAGAGTGAGACTCCGACTCAAAAAAAAAAAAAACCTAGCCAGGCATGGTGTTGCATGCCTGTAGTGCCGGCTACTTGCGGGTGGCTGAGGTGGGAGGATTGTTTAAGCCCAGGAGTTCTCGTGCCACTGCACTCTAGCCTGGGCAACAGAGTGAGACCTAAAAAAAAAAAAAATGAGTAGGCCAGGTGCAGTGGCTGATGCCTGTAATCTCAGCACTTTGGGAGGCCAAGGCAGGCGGATCACTTGAAGTCAGGAGTTCAAGACCAGCCTGGCCAACATGGTGAAATTCTGTCTCTACTACAAATACAAAAAATTAGCTGGGTGTGGTGGTGCACGCTTTTAATCTCAGCTACTTGGGAGGCTGAGGTGGGAGGATCACTTGAACCCAGGAGGCAGAGGTTGCAGTGAGCCAAGATTGCCCCACTGCTCTCTAGCCTGGGCGACAGAGTGGGACTCCATCTCAGTTAAAAAAAAAGAAAAAGAGTAGAAATTAACCAGAAGTTAGAATTCAAAGAATTAAGTTCAATAAGGCTCACTGAAAGCTCAGGGTGAGGATGGTAGGTATGAACTAGATCAGGGAAGGCCTGTAAGGACTTCATTCTAAGGGCAGTTGGAAGCCATTGAAGGATTTTACATAGGTGAATGTGACAGATTGGCATTTTTGAAAGCTCACTCTGCTTGCAGTGTGGAGAGCAGAATTAAAAGGAGCAAGAGTGATTTAGAGAGAATAGTTATTGAAGTAATCCAGGCAAGAGATAATAGTGGTTTAGACTTTGATGGTATTAGTTGAGATGGAGAGAAGTGGGAAGAGTGGAGAAATATTTAGCTGCTAGAATTCACTTTGAGGTTGAGTAGTTATGGAGAGGGAGGCATCAAGAATGATTCTTAGGTTTCTGGGCTGGGCCGTAGGGTGGATGGTGGTCAAATTTACTAAAACAGAAAAACCTAAAGGAGGAGGAGGAAGAACATTTCTGGGGGTGAGGAGAAAATCATGAGTTAGGTTTCAGACATACTGAGTTTGGGGTTCTTGAGACATAGATTCCAAATGGAGATGTCCACTTGGAAGTTAGATATAGCTCTGGAGTCTAGATGTAAGATCTGGGAGACATAGATTTATAAGTCATCAGCATAAAAATGGTATTTGAAGACACAGAAATAGATGAAGCCTCTCAAGGAATGTGTGTAGAGTAAGAACTGAGGTTAAAGGACATTAAGCCTAGCTCCACAAATAGCAGTATCTAAGGGAACCAATGAAAGAATGGCCAAATAGGTATTCATATTAGGTTGGTGCAAAAGTAATTGCAGTTTTTGCTATTACTTTTAATGGCAAAACCACAGTTACTTTGGCACCAGTGTGATAGGTGGAAAATCAAGATAGTGGATAGTGCGTTGCCATGAACGTCAAGGAACAGACTCTAGGAGGAGGGAGTCGTCAGCTGTGTGAAGTACTGCTGAGACGTCAAGCAAGATAAAGACTGCGAGTTATCTTTTGCACCTACTGACATGTAGATTATTGTTGACCTTGGCAGGAGCAGTTTCATAGTGACTGAAGCCATATTGCATTGATTTGAGGAGTGATGGAAGGTGAGGAAATGGGGATGGTGAGTACAGACAACTCTTTCAAGAAGTTTGACTGAAGGAGAGAGAGAATGAGGGAAGGAGCTGGAGGAATAGATGAAGTAAATGAGCATTTAAAATAAAAATAGGTGGGGACTAAGCTTATCTGGTGACCCTGATTCTTACAGTAGAATGTGAATCTCAAAAATATTTAAGCCTATTTTAAATAAATTTCTAAAATGGAAACCCAATTCATTATTTTACCAGGTGTCCTCCCTGCCCCCTGCTTTAGAATATAAGACATAGAACATTGTCTTATAGGCATTTATGATAACCTGGATAGGGAAGGTAATCTTCTAAAATTAATCTTTAAAACATTACACACAAACACTCACCTCCTTTATAGTTCTCCACTTGGAAAATCATTTAGTATCTAGTTCATTACTAGCAGCAGTGGTCAGTAAGTGCTTCCTGAGTAAATTAAAATCAACATCTTTCTTTTTTTTTTTTTTTTCTCAGAGAGATGGGATCTTGCCATGTTGCCCAGGCTGGTCTGAATTCCTGGGCTCAAGCGATATTCGTGCCTCGGCAGCATCTTTCTTAATAACAGTATTTGTGACAAATAGTTCTATATTCTTAATTTTTTTTTTTTTTTTGAGATGGAGTCTCGCTCTCACCCAGGCTGAAGTGCAGTGGCGCGAGGATCTGGGCTCACTGCAACCTCCGCCTCCCAGGTTCAAGCGATTCTCCTGCCTCAGCCTCCCGAGTAGCTGGGATTACAGGCATGTGCCACCACACCCAGCTAAGTTTTGTATTTTTAGTAGAGACAGGGTTTCACCATGTTGGTCAGGCTGGTCTCGAACTCCTCACCTTGTGATCCGCCCGCCTTGGCCTCCCAAAGTGCTGGGATTACAGATGTGAGCCACCGCACCCAGCCAATAGTTCTACATTCTTTATGTTTGAAATCCCTTCATTCAATCTCGTTTTAAATGTGACCTATATTATGATTTCCCTCTACCTATAAAACAACATCCCATATGAAATGGAGTTATCTGATATGATGGGACATTCAGAAGAGCTGGCATCATTAGCAAGTTCAGGCATTTTTTTTCTTTCTAAAATAGGGATGATCACACTTCTCTTAGGGTCAGTAAGGACATTTGTGAGTGATATCATTATTATTTATTTGCAGAGCTTCAAAAATGTGCTGAAGCCTACCATAGGATTGAATTAGATCTGGTTACTACTTATAGGGTTCATATTAAATAGAAATTGACCTACAAGGCGGCCGGGCACGGTGGCTCACGCCTGTAATCCCAGCACTTTGGGAGGCTGAGGTGGGCGGATCACAAGGTCAGGAGATCGAGACCATCCTGGCTAACATGGTGAAACCCCGTCTCTACTAAAAAATATAAAAAATTAGCCGGGCGTGGTGGCGGGCGCCTGTAGTCCCAACTACTCAGGAGGCTGAGGCAGGAGAATGGCGTGAACTCGGGAGGCGGAGCTTGCAGTGAGCCGAGATCGCGCCACTGCGCTCCAGCCTGGGCGACAGAGCGAGACTCCATCTCAAGAAAAAAAAAAGAGAAATTGACCTACAAGGCATACTGTCAGTGAATCAACAAGTACTTCAGCCCTTAACAAGTTCTTAACCCTGGTCTGGATCTAAGACAAAGCATGAGAATAGGTGATGAAGAAGCTGATAAAGAATCTGGACCTGTACAGTTTTCATTCTGTACAGTCTTCATATCTGTAGCATTGGCTTAGTTTGTGAAAGATAGTTTGCATCTTTGTATCTTTTAATAATGCTTTCAAAGCAACTTTAAAAAAGGAAACTTTTAACTTCTACTTGAAAGAGAATGTACTAATTTTTTTAAAACTGAAGGATAAGTCTGTTGATGTTTTCAGTATTAAAATAATGGAAGGAAGTGTTTTAATGCTACATTATTATTATTATTGGCTTTGGCTTTCATGGTCAGTGTGCTGTTTTCTTTCTTTTTTTTTTTTTTTTTTTTTTTTTTTGAGACAGAGTCTTTCTCTGTTGCCCAGGCTGGAGTGCAATGGCACGATCTCGGCTCACTGCAACCTCCGCCTCCCAGGTTCAGGGGATTCTCCTGCCTCACCCTCCGGAGTAGCTGAGATTATAGGTGTGTGCCACCACACCCTACTAATTTTTGTATTTTTAGTAGAGGCGAGGTTTCACCGTGTTGGCCAGGCTGGTCTCGAACTCCTGACCTCAGGTGACCTGCCCGCCTAGACCTCCCAAAGTACTGGGATTACAGGCATGAGCCACTGTGCCTGGCCAAGTGTGCTGTTTTCTTACGTTGAATAGTAAAAGTACAGATACTCTTTGACTTACAGTGGGGTTACATCTCAATAAACCCATTGTAAGTTGAGGATAATGTAAGTTGAACATTTAATACACCTAGCCTACTGAATACCATAGTTTAGCCTAGCTATTAAATGTGCTCAGAAAGTTTACATTAGGCAAAGTCATCTGGCCACACAGTACACAGTAGAGTATTGGTTTTTTTCTTGTTTTGTTTTGTTTTCTTTGAGATGGAGTCAGTGAGTGGTGCGATCTTGGCTCACTGCAACCTCCACCTCCTGGGTTCAAGCGAGTCTCCCGTCTCAGCCTCCCAAGTAGCTGGGATTACAGGCACCTGCGACCATGGCCCAGCTAATTTTTTTGTATTTTTTTTGTTTTGAGACGGAGTCTCGCTCTGTCGCCCAGGCTGGAGTGCAGTGGCGTGATCTCGGCTCACTGCAACCTCCGCCTCCTGGGTTCATGCCATTCTCCTGCCTCAGCCTCCCAAGTAGCTGGGACTACAGGTGCCTGCCACCATGCCAGGTTAATTTTTTTATATTTTTAGGAGAGATGGGGTTTCACCGTGTTAGCCAGGATGGTCTTGATCTCCTGACCTCATGATCTACCTGCCTCGGCCTCCCAGAGTGCTGGGATTACAGGCGTGAGCCACTGCGCTCCGCCTTTTTTTTTTTGTATTTTTGTAGAGACGGGGTTTCACCATGTTGGCCAGGCTGGTCTTGAACTCCTGACCTTAGGTGATCAGCCCACCTTGGCCTCCCAAAGTGCTGGGATTACAGGTGTGAGCCACTGCACCTGGCCGAGGATTGATTGTTTGCCCTCATGATGTGTGGCTGACTAGGAGCCTAGGGCTCGCTGCTGCTGTCCAGCATCACAAGAGAGTATCATACTGAATATTTTGAGCCTGGGAAAAGATCAAAATTCATGGTATGGTTTCCAGTGAATACATATCACTTTCACACCACCATAAAGTCGAAAAATCATAAGTTGAACCATTGTTAAGTCAGGGACCATCTGTAATTATATCCTGGGAGCTGATGATTATATGTATAATAGTTAAAAACAAAAAATCCAGTCATGGGTTAAACGTCAAGATGGAGTTTATGAGATGGAATTTATTCTTCCCAATAGATTGGAACAAGTTTCAGGTAATAGTAATGAGTGACCGAGAGGGAAGGGCTTCAGTTGATCAATAACCATTTATTGACATCCTACTGTGTGCTCTAGCACTATGCTTGACTACCAGATAGGATATAAAAAGAGGGGAAGGCAGCTGTCCCCTAAGAAAAATTACATTCTTTGAGTGAAAAGTAGGTAACAAATCAGTATGTTTGGTGAGAAAAAGGTATGTATTATGTATATTTAATGCATCTGTTTGCATATGGAAAATTAGGGGAGGTTATACTATAAAATATTAACAGTGTAGGAAATCCTAGTTATCCAGAGATAATTGGATTAGAAAATAGGCAAGTAAAGTGAATTCATTTAACACAGGAACCAAAAGTTTATTGTAAAACATAAAACATTTGATTGGGACCCAGTCTGGAAAAACAAAGCTCAAAGTGATAAGGATAAGCAGATTTTATATTTGATGGAATTGTTATAAATGAAATCATAGCCAAGTTTTAGAATGAACAAAGAATAAACTATAGATTGGGTTTCTTTGCTGTAATTTTTGTGGGAAAATTATATAACAACATTATAGATCATCTTTTATTTCATTTTTTGACATGTTGAAAAAATATTTTAGGGATTTATCGATTTTTATACGGACTGTTTTTCAACCTTTGGTATTCAGGCCATTCTCTTTTATAGTTTTTACTGTAAAGTACTGTTCGGTTGTTAACTGGTAGGACTTCTAGCAGATCCTCAGCTGCCAGTAATAAGTTCCAATGTTCTCCAACATCACTTTCTTGAAATACTACATCCATACAATTGTAGTAGAATCATATGCTTTTGTTAGTCATATAAGTATACAGGGCAGTTCATCAGTGAATATTTTAGTGTTATGATAACTTTTGGTTTTCTTTATGCAACCTTGTAACCATGGGAAATTATATAATACTAGGATAATGACACTCCTGTAGTTTTTTTCTGAGTGGTGAGATTTCTTTTATTGATTTTAATTAATTAGTTATTACTTACCTGTGTAGTCAGTTTTCTTTATTTGAGATTTTTAAACTCACCACAGACACTGAATTAGTGAATACTGAACCAGTGCTCCTCGGGGAAATACAGGGTTAGGTTCCTGTGAGTCTCTTGTCACATTTTTATCAACTGATGAACACATAGCCTTGTTTATGTGTGTTTCTGTTTAAAGAACCTTATTTAGTACATATTGTTGATTTATTAACATTGTACTCATGGCCAACAGCACTGTAGCACTTGTCCGAACAAAGCTGACCTAACACAGATATTTTCTCTGTGAGACATAAGACCGCTTTCTTGCTCTTGGGACACTAAACAGCATCTCAGCTCTATGCCTGGGGGCCATTTTAAATAGTGAAATCAACAAAAAAGCACAAAAGTTTGACAAATGTGTCTCTAAATAGACTGAAAATGACACTTATTTATAGTATAGAGCTGGAACAAGAAGGCAGAGCATCACCTTGCACTTCATCTCGGCTGGGAATGCACACATGAGTCAGGGGACTCATGTTTTTCACTGCTGTCCACATGTTTGTGAATGACTGGGAAAGCTCAGTGAGTATGGATTTTGGGTTTAGAAATAAATTTTAGGTCGGGTGTGGTGGCTCATGCCTGTAATCCCAGCACTTTGGGAGGCCAAGGTGGATCACTTGAGTCCAGGAGTTTGAAACCAGCCTGGGCAACATGGTGAAACTTGTCTCTACAAAAAATACAAAAATTATCCAGATGGTGGCACATACCTGTGGTCCCAGTTACTCGGGAGGTTGAAGCGGGAGGATCATTTGAGCACAGGAGGCGGAGGTGGCAGTGAGCTGAAACTGCACCACTACACTCCAGCCTGGGTGACAGAGGGAGATGACCCTGTCTCAAAAAAAGAAAAAAAAATTTTAGCAAGTAGGCAAATTTGCAAATACAGAATCCAAGAATAATGAGGATTGGCTATATTTTCTAATATTTCCATACTAAGCTTATTGTTGTAATTTTTAAATGAAAGCACAAAATAAGCTTTCAGAAAATTAAAGTACAGCATAATTTGGAAGATAAAGCTAAGGCTTTTAAAATAAATAGAAAGCATTTTAAAACACAGTATATTGGCCAGGTGCGGTGGCTCACACCTGTAATCCCAGCACTTTGGGAGGCCGAGGCTCGTGGATCACCTGAGGTCAGGAGTTCGAGACCAGCCTGGCCAACATGGTGAAACCCCATCTCTACTAAAAATAAAAAAATTTAGCTGGGCTTGGTGGTGGGTGCCTGTAATCCCAGCTACTCGGGAAGCTGAGGCAGGAGAATCACTTGAACCTGGGAGGTGGAGGTTGCAGTGAGCCGAGATCACACCACTGCACTCCAGCCTGGGTGACAGAGCAAGACTCCATCTCAAAAAAAAAAAAATAAATAAAACACAGCATATTCTCTTATATGTGTGTACAGCATATTCTCTTATATGTGTGTACATCTGAGTATGGGTAGACTAATGCTACAACAGGTGTTTCAAAGTGGGAGGAGGCTGGGTGCAGTGGTTCACACCTGTAATCCCAGCACTTTGGGAGGCTGAGGTAAGAGAATTGCTTGAGCCCAGGAGTTTGAGACCAGCCTGGGCAACACAGTAAGACCTTGTGTCTATAAAACATAAAAAAATTAGCTGGGCGTGATGGTGCATGCCTACGAACCCAGCTGCTCAGGAGGCTGAGGTGGGAGGATTGCTTGAGCCTGGGAGGTTGAGGCTTCAGTGAGCCATGTTCAGGCCATTGTACTCCATCCTGGGTGAGAGAGTGAGATGCAGTCTCAAAAAAAAAAGAAAGAAAAGAGGGAGGAGTGCTTGAGGAGAAAGAGAGAAGGCAGAGAAGAGAGGTAGGACTGTTCAGTTATATTCATTAATTACAAGACCCCTGTCAATAAATCGGAACAAACTGAAGCCAGGTTAAAAATAAGTAGTTGTGAATACTGAAGAGATTTACCCTGATCATTTATCAAAAAGATGGCTCTTACCTCCAAAAGCATGTGTTTTATTAGAGTACAGAAGCATGTTGAATTAATATGTATGGTTTAATTTAAATGTATAAATTTGGGGGAGGAACTGAAATTTTTCTGTAGCCTGTGTTTAAGATCTTGTTAACTTATTTGTCTTCCTCAGTCTAGCTTTGCCTTTTTTTACATATAGACACATGAACACAGACATAAAGATAGGTCCTTGTCAACACCAAGTTGCAGAGATACATGATTGTCAATCAAAATTCTCAAAAATTGTTTCTGTTGTAGGAACAGCAGCAGTATTGGTATCGACAGCACTTGCTTAGTTTGCAACAGAGGACAAAAGTTCATTTGCCAGGACACAAAAAGGGTCCTGTGGTAGCAAAGGATACACCAGAGCCGGTAAAAGAAGAAGTTACAGTACCTGCCACCAGTCAAGTTCCAGAATCTCCTTCTTCTGAGGAGCCCCCATTGCCACCTCCAAATGAGGAAGTGCCACCTCCTCTCCCACCTGAGGAACCCCAGGTAACCATATAATTAATTGTTTGTGTTTATTAAATTATTTAGCTTTTTTCTGATTCATTTAGTATACTTTTATCATAAATGGATATATATTTTTGTTTTTTTAGGTACCTATAAAGTTGCATTTGTGAAATCAGATGTCTGTTGTATCAGGTTTATTTGTTTGTTTATTTATTTTGAGACAGGGTCTCTCTCTGTTTACCAGGCTGGAGTGCAATGGTGCGATCTTGGCTTACTGCAACTTCTGCCTCCCAGGTTCAGGCAATTCTTCTGCCTCAGCCTCCTGAGTAGCTGGGATGACAGGCATGCACCACCATGACCGGCTAATTTTTGTATTTTTTAGTAGAGATGGGGTTTCACCATGTTGGCCAGGCTGGTTTCGAACTCCTGACCTCAAGTGATCCACCTGCTTCGGCCTCCCAAAGTGCTTGGATTACAGGCATGAGCCACCATGCCTGGCCTGTTGTATCAGGTTTAGAAAAGGAAATTTTTCCTAGTTTGAGTGAAGAGTTGGATACTCTTCTGAATTGAGTGCCTCTAAGCACTAAAGGAAGATGCCAGCATATGTTCATAGTGACAGCACAGGGCAATAGTTGAGTGCTTGAGCTTTTAGAGTCAAGCTACCCAGGCTATAATCCAGGTACTGCCACTTGCCAGTAGTGACTGGGCAAATTTGTTAACCATTCTGTGCTTCAATTTACTCCTCTGCAAAATGGGTATATTCAATAGTAGCTATCATATAGAGGTATTCAAGCATTAAATGTGATAATTCTTGTCACTCAGCTTAGTGACTGGCACATGGGAGGTTCTCATATTGGTCCAAAGGTCATTGTTCTCCCAAGAGCCTTATATGAAGGGTTTAATCAAACCATGATGGTTATATTGTAGTCCATTGGTGAAAAGTGACAAAAAAAGAAACGGATTTTTCATAGAGTGAAAAGGTCTATAACTTAAGGTTCACTTTTTTTTTTTTTTTTTCCAGACAGGGTCTCACTCTGTTGCCCAGGCTGGAGTGCAGTGGTGTGATCTCAACTCACTGCAGCCTCAGCCTCCCAGGCTCAAGTGATCCTCCTTGCCTCAGCCTTCCAAGTAGCTGGGACCTCTCTTCCCTCCCCTCCCCTCCCCTCCTTTTTTTTTTTTTGAGATGGAGTCTTGCTCTGTCGCCCAGGCTGGAGTGCAGTGACGCGATCTTGGCTCACTGCAACCTCTGCCTCCAAGGTTCAAGTGATTCTCCGGCCTCAGCCTCCCAAGTAGGTGAGATTACAGGTACCTGCCACCATGCCTGGCTAATTTTTGTATTTTTAGTAGAGACGGGGTTTCACCATGTTGACCAGGCTGGTCTTGGACTCCTGACTTCAAGTGATCCACCCGCCTTGGCCTCCCAAAGTTCTGGGATTACAGGTGTGAGCCATGGTGCCCGGCCTGGGACCACTTTCCACTGGGAAAATTGTTGTCATATTTAGGAATAATAAGATTATTATTCCAGTGAAGACTATGGAATTTATAAACTCCTTTGTATTAGTATCCATAATAGTATAGATAGAGCTATGTGTTTTATCTAAAGATAGAATAGCTGTTCTCAATCCAAAAAGAACTGAAGATACTGTGTTTGACAGTTGGATATTTCTGAGTTGTAGGGATTCTGGACTTTATAATACATTTATAAAATATTTTTGCTTGCTGTTTTATGACTTACATAAAGATGTGTCCTCTTTTATCTTTAGTCTGAGGACCCAGAAGAAGATGCCAGGTTAAAGCAGTTGCAGGCTGCAGCAGCACACTGGCAGCAGCACCAGCAGCATCGAGTCGGTTTCCAGTATCAGGGAATAATGCAGAAGCACACTCAGTTACAGCAGATTCTACAACAGTATCAGCAGATTATACAGCCCCCACCACATATACAGGCAAGTGCTTCCATAGTCCACAATAGGAAGTTGCCCCAAGACATTGAAAGGATTTGTTATTCTTGAAAGATTTAAGTGTAAAAAACAAAAGATACCAACTGTTGACAATTAGTTGTTTCCCAAGGGGTGCCCAAGTAGTTATCTGCCACATTACCTGGGGGACTGGGGAGGGGTTGGTTATAGTAGAGTTTCCTGATCATGTCAACCCAGGCCAGATGTTAGCTTACTATTGCTAAGGGTCTTAAGAGCTGGGGATTTTTACCATATAGCTACAGGTTAACCTGTGTTTTGCCTGTAAACTACAACAGTAACAGATAAGCAAAGAGGCCAAAAACAGCCATCACAAAAAACCTAAGCAAATATACCGTAAAAGATAAAGTGACTTAGATACTTGTTTGTGTTGTATCTTTGAGGGGTAATGTTGTGTCTGTATATCTATAATAACAGATCATTTTTCAAGTTCTTGAAATTATCCATATTAAAAACTTGAAAAATACTTATTGCTAAGATAGGTATTTGCTTTATTGTTTGGTTGGTTTTTCCAACTCTGTAGTAAGTTGTCTAAGCCAAAGGAAGGAAGAAGAATGATCATCACTCAAAGAACTTAACGAACTTATTCTTAGCCTCCCAAAGTCTTTAGTGTTCTAATTTCCTAAAGCGTCAAATGCCCTTGATTCATTAATATTTTAACCTATGATTAATTATCTTATATGAATGGTTTTAAATAGTTTTTATCCCTTTATTTGTAGACCATGTCTGTAGATATGCAGCTGCGGCATTATGAGATGCAGCAGCAACAGTTTCAACATCTTTACCAAGAATGGGAGCGAGAGTTTCAGCTATGGGAGGAACAACTCCATTCCTATCCTCATAAAGATCAGCTTCAGGAGTATGAGAAGCAGTGGAAAACATGGCAGGGACATATGAAAGCCACTCAGAGCTATCTCCAGGAGAAAGTCAATTCATTTCAGAACATGAAGAACCAGTATATGGGGAACATGTCAATGCCACCTCCTTTTGTTCCATATTCTCAGATGCCTCCACCTCTACCTACAATGCCCCCTCCAGTGTTGCCTCCTTCATTGCCACCACCAGTGATGCCCCCTGCCCTCCCTGCTACAGTGCCACCACCTGGCATGCCCCCACCTGTTATGCCACCTTCTCTACCAACCTCTGTTCCCCCACCAGGGATGCCTCCTTCTCTCTCTTCTGCAGGGCCACCACCAGTTCTCCCCCCACCTTCCCTGTCTTCTGCAGGGCCACCACCAGTTCTTCCCCCACCATCTCTCTCTTCAACAGCACCTCCACCTGTCATGCCCCTCCCACCATTGTCTTCAGCTACACCTCCTCCAGGAATACCTCCCCCTGGAGTTCCACAAGGGATACCTCCTCAGTTAACAGCAGCCCCAGTTCCACCAGCCTCCAGTTCACAGAGCTCGCAAGTTCCAGAGAAACCTAGACCAGCACTGCTTCCTACTCCTGTGTCTTTTGGTTCTGCCCCACCGACAACTTACCATCCTCCGTTGCAATCAGCTGGTCCATCAGAACAAGTGAATTCAAAAGCTCCTTTGAGCAAGTCTGCTCTGCCATACAGTTCATTCTCATCTGATCAAGGACTTGGGGAGTCTTCAGCTGCTCCATCTCAGCCAATCACTGCAGTGAAGGACATGCCAGTGAGATCAGGTGGCCTGCTTCCAGATCCTCCTAGAAGTAGTTACTTGGAAAGTCCAAGAGGCCCAAGGTAGGTCTGCTTTTTTTTCTCTTTTTTTTTGGTTTGGCTATTTTATTGACTTAGGCTATTTGGTTCTCGATGGTATAAAAAGCTTCATTTATACAATGTTTATACTCTCTTTGTACTTATATTGTCTGCTTGTTAAGACATCACGTATGTAATCTAGAAAAGGTAACATGCCCCCATTTCTTTGATGTCTCTGCTTTTGTCCTATATGTAGAGATTATAATCCAGAATGAATGTAGTATTGTAGAGTAATGCTAATCATTTTGTATTGACTTATTAGCTTTAAAAATAATATTAAACTTTATCTTTTGTTTGCTTTTTCATTCATTTGACAAATAATTGAATTGGCAATTACTATTTGTTAGATAATTTGTTAGTTGTTAGAGATAAAGATGAATAAGCCAATATTCTACTGGCTTGAGGCAGTGAAATTTAGCATAAGGTAAGTAGGACTTTTATTTTATCCATTCAGCAAATATTTAAGTTCCTGCTCTTGTACTTAGAGCAGTGAATATAGCAGAACACATAAAATTCCTGCCCCCATGGAGCTTACATCCTTTATATTTTCCCCAGTTAAGGAGATACTTCTGTTTATCCTGAACAACATATTTAGAAAGAAAAAAAATTGCTGGTGTGTAAGTTTTTTCTCTTTACCTTCTAAAAACTGTTAAATTCATTTTTTCCAAGTTTGTAAAAATAGATTTTTCTCCCCAAGTTGACCTAAATGATAACTTTTCTATGGAAATTATTATTATTTTTTGAGACAGGGTCTCGGTTTTTCACCCAGGCTAGTGTGCAGTGATAGAATTATGGCTCAGTGCAGCCTCTTCCTCCTGGGTTCAAGCAGTCCTCCCACCTCAGCCTCCCAGGTGGCTGGGACCAGAGGTGCGCACCAACACATCTGGCCAGTTTTTAAAAAATACTTCGTAGAGATGGGGATCTTCCTATGTTGACCAGGCTGGTCTCAAACTCCTGGGCTCAAGCGATCCTCCTGCCTTGGCCTCCCTGCCTGCCGTGGCCTCCCAAAGTGCTGGGATTACAGGTGTGAGCCACCACGCTCAGCCAGAAAAATACTTTAATCAGTTTTTTTCTCAGTTGGGAATTGTAGTAGAAATGGGTACTCCTTATACAAAATTCAAACATTACAGAAAAGTGTAGAAAAAAGTGAAAGTCACCTAATTCCACCATCTGGAGAGAATCATTTTAAAAATATATGTTGCAGAAATGGGATCATACTGAGTAGATTATCTTATAACTTATTTTTCCACCAATCTGCGTATTGCTTAGATTTTCATCTCAGTATCAGTGGATCTACATCATCATTTTTTTCAACCTCATTTTAACATTTGAAAACAAAATATATCTTTTATTCCCCAAGCTTATAATTCTGAAAGCAGTGTGGCACAAAACTCCATCCACAATCAAAGTTAAGAGAAAGGGCAATTAACATGAATTCCTCTGTGTACCAAGAAGCCTTGCTAGAGACTTTACACACATTATTATCTCATGGAAGTCTTCTCAACAACCTGTGAAGTAGGCAGATTATTCTCCATTTACTCTTAACAAAATGGCACTGAGAGGACTGCGTAACTTGCTCAGTCAGGATTATTTAGCAGAGTGAGTAGAACCCCAGAATAGGTACAGTTGAGTCTAGAGGGTCCCCAAAGCAAAAGTACTATTTAAGCTCTGTTTACTGCCATGATTCAAGCCTATACTGTCAGTGCTTATTTGGCATGTGTATCATCTTGATTTGAATTCGTTCTTAATCTCCTGGAATGAGCATTGCCTTTTAGATCTGGTAACTAATTTGCTATCAGAGAAGTACATTCTTAACACCTCATGAAACATACATTTCCTGCTCCCTTGATTTCCGTCATGTTAATATTTTCTCTCTTTGCCTACTAAATCTTGGCTGTGTGAATTTAGGACCTATTTTAAGTTTTGTCTTCAGAAGAAAATAACTTCTCAAGTTAATAATCTCTGTGCTGGGAGGATATTAGCAATTATCTAATATATCTGTCTACGGCAACGCACGTTTGTATTCCATTTCAGTTTGTCACAATGAGTCTTGCACATATCATCTTATTTATTCCTCTTAGTGATATCAGGAGGTAAATAAATACATAAGAAAAGCTGAGATTCAGAGAGGTTGTAAATACCTTGCCTCATATAACACAGCTAGTAAATGGTCAAGATGAGATTAGAATCCAAGGACTTCTGACCCACTTTAAGTCCATTGTACTTTCTGTGATGAGCAGTTGTATGCTTAACATTGGCATTGTGATTAGGAACACTGCCATATAAGGCATTGATTCTAGAAAGTTTGTTTTTTACATTGAACCTAAATGTGATTCTTTAACTTTTATCTGTTGATTCTAGATTTGCCTCTGGAGCAACACAGAATGAATTATCCTATGCCTCTTCTACAGCATGTCACTACAGTTATTTAAAAACTATTACCCTCATGTCTCCCTCACCCTACCTCACCCAGTTTGCTCTGCCAATCACAACTCAGATTCTTTTCATCTTAACATTGTTTCTAACCTCATCCTGCTGTACTGCTCACTGTCCTTTGAAGGGCCTTTAGTTTGTTAGTCTCCTTCAGAATGAACACTTACTTCAGATGCAGAGGAGCATGGGCCTAGTACCAACTTCATTATAAATAATGTGCTTATATTGTATAGCTTAACAAATTGCTTTTTTGTTTGTTTTTTTCAGCACTCTCACAGTGTTGACTCTTGTTGAACTTAACATCAATCTAGCTTCCCAGGTCTTTTTCACATTAGCTTTTATTAAGCCAAGTCTCTCTTATCCTGAACTTGTGTGGTTGGTTTTTTGTTTTTGTTTTTCTTGTTCCTTTTTCTAAGACTTTACATTTCTCTTTAGATTGTTTTCTAGTTAGGTTTGCACCATCATTTCAGTCTGCTGAAATCTTGGTCAATGATGATTATATTGTTTTAGGTATGTGATATCCCTCTTCAGCATTTTCATCTGCAGCTTTGATAAGGATGGCTTTTTAATCCTTGAATTGGATCCTACTCACATTATCCACCTTGTTTTGAAAACGTTTCCCCTAACTAGCTTATGTCATTGCCATTTCAGTCACCCCCTGCTGCTTTTGCTCACTCAGCCCTTATAGAGTATAGTTTGGGACTGTTACCCAGGCATAGTTCTTTTTCTCCAGTGTAACTAGGTAAAAAATCAGTGGGAAGCTGGTTAGTGAGTGAACAAGACTGAGGTAAGAATAATCTATACTATTAAGGAAACCTGTGAACTTCTTGTATTTCTAATTCAGATTTTGCTATCAAACATATAACTGATATGAGAAGCCACTTTTTTTAAATAATCAAAGCTGATTAGAAAAACAAGAGTTTAGAACACAACTAAACAAATTTACTGATAACATGCTGTTACAAATAAAGTACTGTAAATGGCTTTGAGTTTTTGCAAAATCCAGATTTAAGCTGCTTTATAAAAACGAGATTTCTAAAAAGTCATGTGACAAAACTGCATGACATGTAAATAACATATCACATTGTTGAGAGTCTAGGGGAGCTGTTTTGACACTGTGTATATCATTGGATTCACTCAGTCTTCCAGAAGACTACCGTTGGTCCAGAAAACTGTCATATCAATGGATGTTGGTTTTCCAGGACCTTTTTTTTCACATATAATAAAACTTATTGAAACGTAACAGAGAAGTGCACAATTTTAAGTGTTCAGCTTAGTGAATTTTCACAAAATAAAGACACACATTGGCCAGGTGCGGTTGCTCATGCCTGTAATCCCAGCACTTTGGGAGGCTGAGGGGGGAGCGGATCATGAGGTTAAGAGTTCGAGACCAGCCTGGTCAATATGGTGAAACCCCATCTCTACTAAAAAATACTAAAATTAGCTGGCATGGTAACATGCGCCTGTAGTCCCAGCTACTTGGGAGGCTGAGGCAGGAGAATTGCTTGAACCCGGGAGGCGGAGGTTGCAGTGAGCCAAGATCGTGCCACTCTACTCCATCCTGGGTGACAGAGTGAGACTCCGTCTCAAAAAAAAAAAAAAAAAAAAAGGCACACATGGTATCACTACTAGATCAAGAAATAGGAATTACTGGTGCCCAAGAAATCTCCCTCATCCCCCTCAGTTATTTTCTAATACCCCAAAGATAACTGCTATACTGAGCCATAGATTAGTTTTGCCTATTTTTGAACTTCATGTGAGTGAAATAATACTGTATGTACTCATGAGTCTGGCATCTTTCACTTGACATTGTATTATTGTGAGAGTCATCCATGTTGTGTGTAGTAGTAGTTTATTCCCGTTCCTGTACAATAGTTCATTGTATGAATATAACACAATCTGTTTATCCATTTTAATATTAATGGTCATTGAAGTTTTTTGGTTATTATGAAAAGTGCTGCTGTGTGTCTTTTGATGCTGTATGTGTCCCTTTAGATGTATGTGTTTGTTTGTGTGTGTTTAATTTTGTTTGGATATCTATTAAGGATTGGAATTGCCTGATTATAGAGTATATACATGTTCTGCGTTAATGGGTATTGTTAAACATTTTTCCAAAGTGGTTGTTTCAGTTTATATTCTCACCAGCAGTGTTTCAGTGTTTCAGTTTTTTTGCATCCTTATCAACACTTGGTATTGTTAAACTTTTAAGGTTTAGCAATCCTAGTGGATGTTTAGTGGTATCATGATAATGGATTTAATTTACATTTCCCTGATGACTAATGAGGTTTCACTTTTTTTATTTGATTATTGTTAATTTGTATTTCCTCTTTTATGAAATGCTGATTCAAGTCTTTTTCCCATTTTTTGACTAGGTTTTATGTCTTACTGATTTTGTAGGAGTTCTTTGTGAATTCTACACATCAGTTTTTTATCCATTATATGTATTACAAATTTCTCACTGCAGGACTTTTTATTTTCTTAATGAGCACTTGAATGTAAACGCTGCATGCTGGGTACAGTGGCTCATGCCTGTAATCCCAGCACTTTGGGAGGCTGACGCGGGCAGATCACTTGAGGTCAGGAGTTTGAGACCAGCGTGGCCAACATGGTGAAGCCCCAGCTCTACCAAAAATACAAAAATTAGCTAGGCATGGTGGTGCACGCTTGTAATTCCAGCTACTCGGGAGGCCGAGGCACAAGAATCACTTGAATGCAGAGGTGGAGGATGCAGTGAGCCGAGATCGAGTCACTACACTCCAGCCTGGGCGACAGAGTGACAGAGCGAGAACGAGATTCCGTCTCAAAAAAAAAAAAGAAACTAAACGCTGCAGTAAGACAGTTTGATCTCAGTATAGTAGAAAAGTAGTCTTTACCGTTTACCTTTTAGGTCCAATGGACCCTTTGTATTTTAAAGTTTAAAGTAATTTTACAAATAATTTACAGAATTTAAGAATAAAGGGGCCGGGCATGGTGGCTCACATCTGTAATCTCAGTACTTTGGGAGGCCTAGGCGAGCGGATCACTTGAGGTCAGGAGTTTGAGACCAGCCAGGCCAACATGGGAAAACCCTGTCTTTACTAAAAATACAAAAATTAGCTGAGCATGGTTGTGCACACCTGCAATCTCAGCTACTCAGGAGGCTGAGGCATGAGAATTGCTTGAAGCTGGGTGGCAGAGGTTGCAGAACTGCACCACTGTACTCCAGCCTGGGTGACGGAGTGAGAGTCTGTCTCAAAAATAAAAATAAAGGGATAGTGAAAAAAATGTTAAAGACAAACTCTTTTCATCCATTAAATTTGGGCACACAAACATCTTAAAAGATGAAATAATTCTGTCACATACCCTTTTTTTTTTTCTTTTTTTTTGAGATGGAGTCTCGCTCTGTCGCCCAGGCTGGAGTGCAGTGGCGCAATCTCAGCTCACTACAAGCTCCACCTCCCAGGTTCACGCCATTCTCCTGCTTCAGCCTCCCAAGTAGCTGGAACTACAGGTGCCCACCGCCACGCCTGGCTAATTTTTTGCATTTTTAGTAGAGACGGGGTTTCACCGTGTTAGCCAGGATGGTCTCGATCTCCTGGCCTCGTGATCCACCCGCCTCGGCCTCTCAAAGTGCTGGGATTACAGGCGTGAGCCACCGCGCCTGGCCTTCTGTCACATATCCTTTTAGCAAATTGAGATGGTCCAGGTTCTTGCCACAAAATATGTGATAAGATAAGGTCCTTCCTGTTTAATAACTAAGTGAATTACCACACCACATTTCCTTTCTGTTCTTAGAAATATATTGTCAGCTGGGCATGGTGGCTCACACACCTATAATTCCAGCCCTTTGCGGGGCTGAGGCAGGAGGATTGCTTGAGGTTAGGAATTTGAGACCAGCTTGGGCAACATAGTGAGACCCTGTCTCTACAAAAAGTAAAAAATTAGCCAGGCTTGGTGGCATGTGCCTGTGGTCCCAGTTATGTGGGAGGCTGAGGTGGGAGGATCGCTTGAGCCTGGGAGGCCAAGGCAGCAGTGAGCTGTGCACTGCACTCCAACGTAGGCAACATAGTGAGATCCTGACTCAAAAAAAAAGAAAGAAAAGAAACCGTAAGGCTACAAGTATTATTATTTACTTTTTCTTCTTTTATTTCTTTAACCTTTTATTTTTAAATCAATACTCCATATAAAACTGATTTTATATAGCGTGAGGTAGGGGTCAATGTTTATTTTTTCCGAATAACTATCCAGTTCACCCCAACACCATTTACTGAAGAAGTCATCCCTACTACTTTGCAGTGACTTCATCATAAATTCAATGTTTAAATGAGTTTGTTTCTGGACTCTCCATTCCTGTGGTCTATTTGTCTGTCTTTGCATTAGTGTCATATTTTAATTACTGTAGCTTTACAATAAATTTATCTGTTAGTGTAGGTCCTCCAATTCTGTGCTTCTAGATAAGGGATTGGCAAGCTTTCTTTTTTATTTTTTCTTGAGACGGAGTCTCAGTCTGTCACCCAGGCTGGAGTGCAGTGGCGCTCACTGCAACCACTGCCTCCTGGGTTCAAGCGATTCTCCTGTCTCAGCTTCCCAAGTAGCTGGGATTATAGGTGTGCACCACCATGCCCGGCTAATTTTTGTGTTTTTAGTACAGATGGGGTTTCACTGTTTTGGCCAGGCTGGTCTCGAACTCCTGACCTCAGGTGATCCATCTGCCTTGGCCTCCCTGGGTGCTGGGATTACCGGTGTGAGCCATCATCCCTGGCCTGGCAAGCTTTTTATAAAGGGCCAGGTGGTAAATATTTGTAGGCCTTGTGGGTCACATTTGGTCTCTGTTAAATATTTTTCTTTCTTTTCTTTTTTTTTTTTTTTTCACATTTAAAAAAAATTTTATTGAGGCAGGGTCTTTACTCTGTTGCCCAGGCTAGAATGCAGTGGCAGGATCACAACTCATTACAACTTTGACCTCCTGGGCTCAAGCAGTCCTCCCACATCAGCCTCCCATGTAGCTGGAACTGTAGATGTGTCCCACCATGCTTGGCTACGTTATTTTTTGTAGAGATGGGATCTGCCTGTGTTGTCCAGGCTGGTCTCAAACTCCTGGGCTCAGGCCATCTGCCCACCTTGGCCTTCCAAAGTGTTGGTATTACAGACATGAGCCACCATGTGCAGCCTTTTTTTTTTTTTAAACCTTCAAGAATGTAAAAAAGATCACTTTTAACTGTATTTGGAACATAGGCCATAGTTTGCTGACCCCTGTTCTAGATTGTCTTGATTATTCTTATTAGAATCAGCTTGTCAGTTTTCAAAAACCTGCTAGAATTTTGATGAGCATTGCATAGAATCCATTGACCATTTGGAGGAAGAATTGAAATCTTTATAATATCAAGGCTTCTGATCAGTCACAACTATGTTTTGACTGGCTTTAGGATTGGAATTGTGGACTTTTTCCATTCTATAGCTATCTTACTAGGATTAGTAAGGGACTGTGAGTGCTATAGGTTTTCTTTATATTTCCATTTGTTATGGTTGTTCTTGTTTATAGTGATAACTTATCTTTGGGAATTTTAATTTTAGGACCTTGGTTATACATATTTAGAAAACAGGTGCTATTTCACGTGAAAAGAAAACAGGAAGGAATTTAATTCCAAAATTTGGTATCTTGTAATTCCCATGGTTTGTTAATTTTAATATGTTTCTGCAAATAGTATAATACATAAAATACCTTCTTTAAAAGTATTTGTATAACTGCATCATACCTCTTAGGTTTTTACATTTTGGAGTTTTATATCAAATTTTGAAATTTTTATAATTCTAAGGTATTTATACCTAGTTTTAGGGGTTTTTTAAGAGATTTATAACACACTTAACTATACAAATAAACACTTTCTAAATACTTAAAACCAGATATTTGCTTATTTTTCTTTTTATCTTACCAAGGTACAATGCATGCGTTTTTATGTGATTGTATTTAGTGAATTTATGTAATGTTTCTACTATATTTTAAATACATGTTTTTATATGTCAAAAGGGTCATAGTATTTCATTATATTTAAAGGTGGCTTATTTTCATACAGATTTTTAATATGAGTATCTCTTGATATATTTGTTACAAAGCCTTAAAAGGTCTCTAGTTTTATAAATGAAAACGGTTTTGAGTCTGTCATTTTGTAACATCTTTGAACTTTGAAAATTTGAAAGTCCAGTAATAGACAGGTGCAGTGGCTCATGCCTGTAATCCTAGCGCTGTGGGAGGCTGAGGCAGGTGGATTACTTGAGCTCAGGAATTTGAGACCAGCCTGGGCAACTTGGTGAATCCGCATCTCTACCAAAAATACAAAAATTATCCGAGCCTGGTGACATAAAAAATTAGCCAGGCATGGTGGCAGGCACCTGTGGTCCCAGCTACTCGGGGGACTGAGGTGGGAGGATCACTGGAACCCAGGAAGTCTAGGCTGCAGTGAGCTAGGATCATGCCACTTCATTCCAGCCTGGGTGACAGAGTGAGACCCTGTCTCAGAAAAGGACAAAAAAAAATCAAATAGTGATAAATATTTGCCATTTATATGTAGTGTTGAAAGTGTATTTCAAATGGTTTCAACAATTTCTGGCCCCCAGAATGAAAATAAAATGATGGGCCTTGGCTGTTGATCAGCAATTTGGTCTGAAAACAAAGCACCCTACCCTTTCAACCCTTCTGCCATGTCCTCTTATCTGCACACCTTTTAATGCCTCCTACTTCCTTTGTCCTTTCTTCTGGCTTTTACACATGCTCTTTTCTTTGTCTGGAATTCCCTTCTTGCCATTCTTTGCTTTATTTATTCCTATTTTTCCTGCCCTGGGGCAGCACTTCAGTAATTACAGATTGGGATTATTTAATGAAATCAGACATTGGGAATACTTTGGTTAGCAAGACAAACATGTTCCATATTTATCAAATTCTGTTCTAATTGTTGAGTTAATTGTCTCACTCTTCCTGTGGACAGTGAACTCCTTGAGGTTAGGCATGACTCTCTTTTTAGCACCAGCTCATTACCTGACAATCAGTATGTGTTCAGTGAAAGTTGCTTCTTCCAAAATGTCAGTCATGGATAAAATTCTCAAGGCATTCACAATTTTGTTAGGAAGGGACTTTGCTCATATTTAGAATTTGATTAGAATACTAGATAACATGTTAATAAGGTCTCTCATGGACTCTTGTACATTGTGGAAGATAGTCTTCTTTTATCACTTATGTGAACAAATAATTGCTACATTTAATACATAGCAAATGATTTTATACAACTTTAATGATCTGATATATTATTGAGGCACTTTAAATTAATAAGTGTAATTCCGAGAAAGGAACCACACCTTCACAAGCCCTAAAGCGGCATACTTTTTTTTCCTTCTGTAAATATATACTCTCCATCCTTAGCATTGTGATGTATATACTTTGACAAGTTTCTGGTCACCTTCTTTCGCCTTTGCCCATTATAGCTCTGCCAAGCCTTCACTACTTCGCATAGACCATCTACTCTAGTGCTGCTTTCTCAATCTTAGCAAACATTTTTATTTTGCATTATATTTATAATTTAGCTTCCTGCCTTACAGGAAATCAAGTTTACCTATCAAGCCCAGTAAAACATCTCACTTCTAACCCTTAGCTTTACTTAGCATGCTCATAATCTTGTAGTCTCAGGAGAAGCGGCCCTTCTGATGAGAGCTAATCCTCTCTCTGTGCCCTTTAAAGAGATACAGTTTACATTTTTATCAAAGTGATTCATATGCATGGTTTAAAAAAATTGGGCCAAATGGCCACCCACTGCTCCATGCCCTCCAAATGTTTTTGCCAATGGCATCCTCTTTCAATTATTTAGCTGTTTCTTTTGGTCGCCATCTTCATAGCACTAAATAATTATGTTGCCCTTTTCACTACTTAAACACTTACACATTTTAGATATTACATATTTATTTAACTGTCCTGAAAAATAAAGTTTTCGTTCTTCCTCAACACTCTGCCATATGGGTGTTAACTACAGCATTCCCCTTGCTGACCCTCCGGAATGTGATTTGCTGTTTATCGAATCTCATGGCTTCCTGTTACCATTCAGTACCTCCATTTCCTGGAGTGCATGCTCAAGTAACTTGCTAAGGAAGTGTGGGTGAGGGGTAAATTTTCTGAGTCGTCCTGTATCTGACAATGTCTTTATTCTAATCTCACACTTACTTGCTAATTTGGATATAAAATATGATGTTGAAGATAATTATTCCTCAAGGTTTTAGGATCATTGTTCTATTTTGTTCTATCACATTGTGTAGGTGTTATACTGTTCTGATTCTTTTCCTGTTTTGGTGACCTCCTCTCTCCCAAACTTAAAAAATCTCTGGTATTCTGAAATTTCAGTGTTTTTTGTTTGCTTATTTAGTTTTATTATTAATTGTACTGAGTAGTCAGTATGCTGGCCCCTTTCTGTCTAGAGATTGGAATCTCTTAACTTTGGGACATTTCTTTGTGCTATTTCTTCATTCATTTTTTTTCTCTCGTTTTCTGTTTCTGGAACTCTTCATTAGTAGGATTTTGGATCTGTTGGATTGATTATCTTTGTGCCTTTTATCTTACATTTTGTTGTACTTCCTGAGATACTTTAACTTCTAGTCCTTTATTGCATCTTTTATTTTGAGAATTGGAAATTTTTTTTTCTGTGGTTCTTCTGGCGTTGATCTTTTTTATAAATAGCACATTGTTCTTGATTTATAGATGCAGTCTCTTTAAGAATCTCTCTGAGGATAACAATTTGAGTTGAAAGTTCTTTTCTGCTTTTTGCATTCTGTTTTCTCCAAATTCAGATCCTATTTATTTATCTTTAGTTTTTCTTTCATTTTGGACGTGTTCCTCAAATATCTAGCAATCCTTGGCTGTGCATTTATGTTTAAGCATGGAAGACACTGACAAACTGATTGGGAGCTCTGTGTATATGAGAGGGGCTTGTTACCTGTCAGGTTTCTGCTTTATGTGAATAGGGTAAGGAACTGTTACTACTGCTAGGGGACTCTCAAATTCAAGGATTTAAGAGACATTCAGCCTAAGGAAAGGCTGGTTGATGGTTCCGAATATAGATTTACGTATTTTTAGCCCCAAGTTTTACTCCTTTCCTTCCCTAGCACCCCCTAGTGTCTGAGAATCCTGACCTTCTCTGAGGTTCTCTGGGCAAGCCAGCCTTCTTTTGATTTTATCCCTTTCTGCCATCAGTACTCTAAACTGGTTTCTTCCTGCTCTGTAAGTTACCACTCATATTTGTTCTTTGTCTTTCAGAATGTACAAACAAGATTTTCATCTTCTGATTACCTCCTCTCTCTGTTTATTATGGGTTTGTGTATTTTTGAGTTCCTTGCAATGGGTTTGTAAAAGGTCAACTTGGCTGAGCTAAACTCCATTTCCCAAAATTCCCTTTCTCTCTCTTTTTTTTTTGAGACAAAGTCTCACTTTGTCACCCAGGCTGGAGTGCAGTGGCACCACCTCAGGCTCACTGCATTCTCCACCTCTTGGGTTCAAGTGATTCTCCTACCTCTGCCTTCCGAGTAGCTGGGATTATAGGCACACGCCACCATGCCCAGCTTAAGTTTTCTATTAGTAGAGACAGGGTTTCACCATGTTGGCCAGGCTGGTCTCTAACTCCTGACCTCAAGTGATCCACTCGCCTCCGCGTCCCAAAGTGCTGGGATTACAGGCGTGAGCCACCGTGCCTGGCAGTCTTTCCCATATGTTTCTGATTAGGTTGGGTCACAGGGAGATTTTCACACCTAACATGAGACATTTATTGCTGGACAACCAAAAACATTCTCTTTCCCCAGAAAAGCACACAAAGTCTTTTTTTTTTGTCTTTAAGATAATATTAGTTCATCCTTCTCCACCTGATTCACACTCCCTCTTTCATGTTCTGTAACTTAAATACTGAAATATAAGGTTAACTCTTATTAACACATGTTAGATAATAAGGAAGAAAACTAATGAACCAAAAAATATTTGGTTAATACACACACACACACACACACACATATTTAAACACAAATATATCAAATTAAGGAAGAAATATTTGTAACTATTGTAGTCCATATTTCTGCAATGGTCATGTGGTCATAGCTGGTATATATGTTCTTCCACTACTCATTCCATATTCCCTTTGCTCTAAGTAAGTACTTCAGCCAGTTCGGATTCCTTGCCTCATGGGGTGACCCAGGCTTTCATTCTTGAAAGATATGGGCTATTAGCAGTTCTTTCTGAATTACTTCTGCTGTTTGCAGTTCTACAAAACCCTTTGCAATTTTCCGTGGACTTGAATCTCAGGACATGGGAAATACTAAGAGATGTCCTAGAGGATCTCTTGCATTTCAGACACACTTCACTTCACCTGTATTGTGCAATAGTCACTCAAATTCCTCTTGAAAGTTAGGGTCAGTTATCCCCAGTGAATACAGTAACCCTCTCCATTGCCTCTTGATTTGGAACTTCAGAGTAAAGTTGGGGTCTCAACTTCAGGTTAGTGGAATCATTTGTTGTGTCCCCTAGTGGATGTGTTCGTCTCTTTGAAACTAGACTTTTAGAACAACAAAGCCTAAAGTCACAGGGATAGGAAATAAATATTTTGCCAACACTGAATTTATTAGTCTTCATTGATTTCCCAAAGAAATGAAAGAAAAAGCCTCCTAGCACTCATTAAAAGTCATGAAAGGCATCACTGTCTACTACTCAGTCACCTAAGCCAGAAACCTTGGAATCATCTTAAATTCTTCCCTTACAACTATCATTTTATTTCTACTGGTGACAAAATCCTATCAATTCTACCTTATTTTACATCTCTCACTTTTATCCCCTCCTCTACATTCTCATATCAGTCACTGCCTTAGACTAGGCATCACCTTCACTTACCCAAATTGTAAAGATGATCTTTAAACTTTTTGTCTCTGTCCACTATTTTTCTGCTAAAGCAATCTTTTAAAAATCAGACTATATTTAGTGGCTCTAAGTGCTTATAAGGTAACACCAAACTCCTTAACCAGCTGAATTAATTTATCTGTTATAATCGAGATCCAAGTCAGATGGCTTTAACAAGTTAGAAGTTTATTCTCTCTTAGGACTTAGGTGATGGTTCAGGAATCCAGTTCCTTCTGATTTACCTGGTCTTGGATATTTCACCACCATGTCAGAACCAGCATGAAAAAGGAAATGGAGAAGAGGAGGATGTGCCCTTTCCTTTAAGGGGACAACCCAGAAGATGTGCAAATCATTTTCACTCTCAGCTCCTTGGCCAGAACTTGGCTGCCAGTTCTAGCTGCAAGAGATATTGAGAAAGAGAGTCTTGTCTGGGGGGCCTTGTGTCTAGCTACAGGAGGCCTGTTATTGTAGATAAGTGGGGAATGGGTATTGGAAGACCACCAGTAGTCTCTGCCACATGAGGCATACACAATCTTCTGGAGAGTGATCCTCGCTTACTTCTTTACCTTATTTTTTAGTGTGCTGCTTTTCCACATTTCCCTCTTTATCAGCTCTCTTGACTCTGTTTCCCCTTTGCATTAGCCATGCTAAACTATTTGCACTTCCAAACATGCTCTGCTGATACACGTTTCTCCGCCTTTCCTCTTGCTTCCTTAGCTTGAGGTGCCCTTGCCACATACTTTCCTCATCTCCAACTCATTCTGTCAGCTTGATTTCAGAGAAGTTGTCTTTTAAAACTCAACATAAGCCTCTCCAATTCTGTTTTCCTTATTGTGTACACATAGACTTGAGACATTACATCTCTTGGTACTTATTTACACTTAGATTATCTTTATATTTTGTTGTAAACTCTTTGAGGGCACATATGACATTTTATTCTTGTATCTCTTGGATGTAATGTAATGCCTGACAGATAAAGGATGTGTACTTTCTTTTTACTGGATGAGCAAGTGGGTTTATAGCAAAAATAACTGTGCAGACTTTTTAAAATGTCAGAACCTACTCTTAAGATAGGGCTACTGTTTCTTTTTTTTTTTTTTTTAACTTTTGTCAATCAAAATGTTAGTGCTAGCTCTAACAATATTTATAATCATCCTATATTTTCTTGTTAGTCTTTTCATATTTAGTTTTTAGTTACAATTTAATTCCAGAAGTGCTCAGAGTTAGTTATGGAATTTGTTAATTTTTTTCTCTTTAAAATGAGCAGCCTTTTCTGTCTCCTAAGGCACAGTATTTATAATTGCTTTTTTTTTTTTTTTTTTTTGAGACGGAGTCTCACTCTTGTCACCCAGTCTAGAGTGCAATAGCGTGATCTCAGCTCACTGCAACCTCTGCCTCCCAGGTTCAAGTGATTCTCCTGCCTCAGCCTCCCAAGCAGCTGGGATTTGCAGGCACCTGCCACCACACCTGGCTAAATTTTTGTATTTTTTTTTTTTTTTTTTTTTTAGTAGAGATAGGGTTTCACCATGTTGGCCAGGCTGGTCTTGAACTCTTGATCTCAGGTGATCTGCCCATCTCTGCCTCCCAAAGTGCTGTGATTACAAGTGTGAGCCACTGCGCCAGGCCTGTAATTGCTTTTTAACCGTTCAGTATATCAGTGACTTGCGGCAGGAGATGTGTTGAAGTAAGTTAGATAATACTGACATGATTTCCAAAGCCTGTCCTAAGACCTTCTGAGCACTGCCACCTTAACATACTGGTTCTAAGATATTGGTGACTCAGGATTAATTTAATGACTGAAAAGAGTCATTGTTGTAAACAAATTCTAAGGCAAGAGTGCCTTAAATATTCTTACATGGAGAATTTTTTTTTTCTGCTTTACTGTCTTGAGTAATATCTTTTGTTTTACTTGTAGATTTGATGGTCCTCGAAGATTTGAGGATTTAGGGTCAAGGTGTGAAGGACCGAGACCCAAAGGGCCTCGTTTTGAAGGAAATCGCCCCGATGGGCCAAGACCCAGATATGAAGGTCACCCAGCAGAGGGCACTAAAAGCAAGTGGGGAATGATTCCCCGGGGGCCAGCATCTCAATTTTATATTACCCCCAGTACATCCCTAAGTCCTCGACAGAGTGGACCACAGTGGAAAGGCCCCAAACCAGCTTTTGGACAGCAGCATCAGCAGCAACCTAAGTCACAAGCAGAACCTCTTTCAGGAAACAAAGAACCATTAGCAGACACCAGTAGTAACCAGCAGAAGAATTTTAAAATGCAATCAGCTGCATTTTCCATTGCTGCAGATGTAAAGGATGTCAAGGCGGCTCAGTCAAATGAGAATCTAAGCGACTCTCAACAAGAGCCACCTAAAAGTGAAGTCTCGGAAGGGCCCGTAGAGCCCTCTAATTGGGACCAGAATGTTCAAAGTATGGAGACTCAAATCGACAAAGCCCAAGCTGTTACTCAGCCTGTACCCCTTGCGAATAAGCCTGTACCTGCTCAATCTACTTTTCCTTCAAAAACAGGGGGGATGGAGGGAGGAACAGCAGTAGCAACATCATCATTAACAGCAGATAATGATTTTAAACCTGTGGGTATTGGTCTACCCCATTCAGAAAACAACCAAGATAAAGGCCTGCCTCGGCCAGATAATAGAGATAATAGATTAGAAGGCAATAGAGGCAACAGCTCATCTTACAGAGGTCCTGGGCAAAGCAGAATGGAAGACACACGGGATAAAGGTCTAGTAAACAGAGGTCGCGGCCAGGCAATCAGTCGAGGCCCAGGATTGGTCAAGCAAGAAGACTTTCGGGATAAGATGATGGGTAGAAGAGAAGATAGTCGAGAGAAGATGAACAGAGGAGAAGGTAGCCGGGACAGAGGGTTGGTGAGGCCTGGAAGCAGTCGGGAGAAAGTGCCAGGTGGTCTTCAAGGGAGCCAGGACAGGGGTGCAGCTGGCAGCCGAGAAAGGGGACCACCTCGGAGGGCTGGCAGTCAGGAGAGGGGACCTCTTCGAAGGGCTGGGAGTAGAGAGAGAATACCACCCCGAAGAGCTGGGAGCAGGGAGAGAGGACCACCTCGAGGGCCTGGCAGTCGAGAAAGGGGACTGGGAAGATCAGATTTTGGTCGTGATAGAGGTCCATTCAGACCAGAACCAGGAGATGGTGGGGAAAAAATGTATCCATATCACCGGGATGAGCCTCCTAGGGCTCCATGGAACCATGGAGAAGAGCGAGGGCATGAAGAGTTTCCATTAGATGGTAGAAATGCTCCAATGGAACGAGAAAGACTCGATGACTGGGATAGAGAGAGATACTGGAGAGAATGTGAACGTGACTATCAAGATGATACACTAGAGCTCTATAACAGAGAGGACAGGTTCTCAGCACCACCATCTCGGTCTCATGATGGAGATAGGCGAGGCCCTTGGTGGGATGATTGGGAGAGAGACCAGGATATGGATGAGGACTACAATAGGGAAATGGAAAGGGACATGGACAGGGATGTGGATCGGATTTCAAGACCTATGGATATGTATGATAGAAGTTTGGATAATGAGTGGGACAGAGATTATGGGAGACCACTGGATGAACAAGAATCACAGTTTCGTGAACGGGATATTCCATCTCTTCCACCTTTACCGCCCCTCCCACCTCTTCCACCTTTGGATAGATATCGGGATGATAGATGGAGAGAAGAAAGAAATCGAGAGCATGGGTATGATCGAGATTTCCGTGATAGGGGTGAGTTGAGGATTCGAGAGTATCCAGAAAGAGGAGATACATGGCGGGAAAAGCGAGATTATGTTCCTGACAGAATGGACTGGGAAAGAGAACGGTTGTCAGACAGATGGTACCCATCTGATGTGGATAGACATTCCCCCATGGCGGAACATATGCCCTCCTCACATCATTCCTCAGAAATGATGGGGTCCGATGCAAGCTTAGACTCTGACCAAGGCCTTGGAGGGGTAATGGTTCTCAGTCAGAGGCAGCATGAAATCATTTTGAAAGCTGCACAAGAACTGAAAATGCTTCGGTAAGTTGACTCCTTCAGATCCTTTCTTTTAATAAAAACCACATTCAGACTGCTCTTTTTAAAGTGATATGATATATTTGAATGGAATCATTTTACTTCAAGTTCTTATCACATACTTTTAATTTATATTTCTGGTCATTCAGTGCTGTTTTAGGGTTAGAATGGGTATTTAGGAACTGTGTTAATGATAAACTTATGCCCTAAGATGTGAAAATTGATTGCTGTCTTGGCCTTTGTAGAAGTGTTGCTGGCATGCCATGCCTGTGCATGTTTCAAGTGTCAAACTTCAACTTTTCAGTGCTCTGGATTTCACAGGGTTCATGTGTAACCTTCATTTTTTCCAGTAATCAGTTTGTTCTTTGGTATTAGATCTGATAGACTTTATATTCACTAATCATTGATAAAACTTTGGAAAGTGCTGTATTTTTCTTTGTTGAAGCTAAGAATGGTTTGCTTAGGAGCATCCTCAGATTTGTCTTAACTATTGATACTTTCTTTTGGGGATGTTTTATCTTTCATTATAACTAAAAGCAGATATTTCTCCTTGAGGATGTTATTTGTTTCTACATAACCAAATGTTTTCTTTGTGAAATGGAAAATAGGATTTCTTGACTTACAATCAACTGTGTATAGGTATCTACATAATTTTCCTCTTTTCTTGTGGTAACAACAATAACAAAAGCTAACATTTATTGCATGCTTACTCCGGGCCAGGAACTGTACTAAGTGTGTTGTGTATAATAAACTCATTTAATCCTTAAACCAGCTGTATCTTGGGATAGGAATTTAGAAGTCAGTGACAGATTGAAAACTTTTTTAAAGCAATTTTTTTGAGAAAGTCAATTAATGATTAGGTTTTGATAAATTCCAATGTATTTCTTCCATTTTTCAATTCTGGTTTACATTTGTGGATCTTAACAATAAATTATAACTTAAACTTTAGAACTAGGAAAGAAAAATACGGTGAAGAAAAGGTAATGATGAAAGACCAGATACGGCAGGTTTGTATGGTCTATAGCTAAGAGGTTTATTTTTTCCAGATTACTCATGAAGAAAATGTGGAAAGCATGCTATAGAATATTTAGCTACTACACTATTCACTTTTAAGTTATAGACACCTTTAATTTTAACACCTACCGTGTAACTGGGCACTTGCTAATAATTGAGTGTATATTATGTCAGTCTGTCTATCTCAAAGGCCTGCAAAGATAAGGTAGTATTATCCCCACTTCACAAATGACACTAAAGTTCAAAGAGGTTAAGTTCCCTTGGCTAGTAAGTGGCAAACCCGGCCTTTGAACTCAATCTGTCTAAAACTCTAAAATCTGTGTTATTTATGGAGAATACCAAGCTGATTGGTGTTGTTAAGCTGCCAAGGTTTCTTTTTTTTTCCTTTTTAAATTTCTTTTTAATTCGTTATTGCTTTGCATGGTAATGCTGGATAAAAGGTGCTGCTGCTGCTTCATCCTTTTTTAAAGCTTTCTAGGCAACATGAACATAATTAAACAATATATAGGGAGTGATGGATAATGTCATAGCCGAATACAAGTCGTTTATGTTGTGTCAGTGTAAAGTCGTAAGGAGTATCATAAGGGATGTGATGATGGGATTTACCTGAGCAGTAAATAATCTTACACACTTGACCCTTACTTTGTGGTCCCTCATTTGTGGACCCTCATTTGGGTCACTTTAATGTAAGGAGAAAATTGTAAAAGGTCTTAAGAAATTGTAGTGGATTTTACCTATGTTTAAGGTAGGCATTGTGAAAAAAAGTAAAAGGAATTTCGTCAGTTTAAAGAAAAAACCGAAGGATTACATAATTATCTTCAGGAATATGAAATGTTGTTTTTAAAGGTATAGACTGACAGTTGTTCTCACCATCTACAGCAGGGGCCATAAATTAAAATGTCCCCAAGAATCAGATAACAAAAATGAGTGAAAGTGGGCCAAGTATAACTCTGTAGAGTACGGTGAAGATTGTGACAGGTTGTTTCATCTAACATGGGCAGCCTCTACTGCACTCAGCTGATTGTTGGCATGTGGGAATGTAGGCCTGGTGTTACCATATCTCTTTAAGATTTGAATTTATATATGAAATATTTTGCTTTGTAAATATGACAGCTAATTTCAAATTTTAAAAACTGATGTGAAAGCCACATTTTGAAAACCTTTTTAGGCCATATTTGGCCCATGGGCCACCATTTTGCAACCTCTGGTCTAAAGAGTTGAAAAAAATAGGCCGGGCGTGGTGGCTTACGCCTGTAATCCTAGCACTTTGGGAAGCTGAGGCAGGCGGATCATGAGGTCAGGAGTTCGAGACCAGCCTGGCCAATATAGTGAAACCCCGTCTCTACTAAAAAAATACAAATAATTAGCCGGGCGCGGTGGTGCATGCCTGTAGACCCAGCTACTCGGGAGGCTGAGGCAGGAGAATCACTTGAACCCGGGAGGCAGAGGTTGTAGTGAGCTGAGATCGCGCCATTGCACTCCAGCCCAGGCGACAGAGTGAGACTCTGTCTCAAAAAAAAAAAAAAAAAAATAGCAAGAGAGCTTTTGGTTGGATTAAAGAAAAACATAACAAGTAGATGAGATAGTAGAAAACAACTGAGGCAGGTTGTAGAATCTATTCTTGAATATCTTCAATAATTTATAATTATTTATATGTCTTAAATGACTGATGAGTTAGCTACATAAAAGCAAAAGAGGGTAATCCTGGAGCTGCTCAGTGTATGGCCACTGCAGAGAATTTTAGGACAAGGATTTTTTAGGTCTCCTTTTTTTAATTAAATATTAATTGTAGTCACTTAGGAATGGAATAAGCATGCTTTATGTACTATGTCAATTTTATTTGTTTGCAGGGAACAGAAAGAACAGCTTCAAAAGATGAAAGACTTCGGGTCTGAGCCACAGATGGCTGACCATCTACCACCTCAGGAATCAAGATTGCAGAATACATCTTCAAGACCTGGAATGTATCCGGTATGGGAGAATGTGTGCTCAGAAAATGAAATGGTTTCTACTTTGTATGTTTCTATGTTGTTTGATTTTTTTTAGAAGTTGAATAAATAACAAATTTCCTCTATAAAATGTAAATTTTGGAAACTTAAAAGTTTATGGTAATTGAACTTTGAACACCTTAAAAGCATGTTCAAAAGTGTGGTAGAGATGCTCCTTTTCCCCAGATTTTGATAAGTACACCAAGTACACCTGAACTACATAGCTTCTGTTCACAAAATGGTAGAATTTTTCTAATAATTTTTATGTTAAAATAGTCCTGTTGGCTGGGCATAGTGGCTCACACCTGTAATTCTAGCACTTTGGGAGGCTAAGGCGAGAGGATTGCTTGAGCCCAGGAGTTTGACACCAGCCTTCGCAAAATGGTGAGACCCCTATCTCTACCAAAAAAAAAAAAAAGTCCTGTTTTCCATCTAGGCAGGGCTAGATGTGGGCCTCGTGATGCTTCCTACCTCTTCAGGCTACTAGTCCTTCAGATGGGGAAATGTCATACCCCAGTACATACTTCAGAACTGTTCAGGCAGTATGAAAAGGGGTGTTTATGTTAAAGACTTGAGTAATTAAGTTCTCCTTTTTTTCCCAAGAGCATGCCAGGACTTCTTTTATTTTTGTTATTTTACCTTTAAGCCAGTAATGGGCTTTTCAAATGTTTAAAATGTTATCTTGCAGGTAGTTTTATGACAGCATAATGAAGAAAACAGCTCTACTGAACCTCTACTGAACCATTTCATCAAATTAACACTTTTCATTTCTCAGTGTTCCCTTCCATCCTGGTCTAATACTTAACAGTAAGACATAGTTGTTGACATCAGTGACCACCATGGTGTTGTTGACTCCCCAGATCGGATCTCCTGACCTTTGTACGCATCTACCTGTCTGCAGGGTTTCTGTCTGTGGATGTGACTCCTGTCAAATGCAGCATATTCAAAATGGGGCTCGTTATCATACCCCATTAAATTGTCTTTTTTCCTCACCATCACCTAGTCACCCTAACTTGAAACCTGAAAATCAACCCTCCATCTTGCTCCATCTTGCTGATTTGTCCTACCCTGCTGCTGATTGATTTTACCTCCTTTGAATCAAATTCTCAAGTATAATTACACCCATTTTAAGCCTATAGTTCGAGTTTTGACAGATGTATACCAAAAGATAAAAAAATTCTCGGCCAGGCGCGGTGGCTCACACCTGTAATCCCAGCACTTTGGGAGGCCAAGGCGGGTGGATCACTTGAGGTCGGGAGTTTGAGATGAGCCTGACCAACTTGGAGAAACCCCGTCTCTACTAAAAGTACAAAATTAGCCGGGCGTGGTGGCGCATGCCTGTAATCCCAGCTACTAAGGAGGCCGAGGCAGGAGAATCACTTGAACCCGGGAGGTAGAGGTTGCGGTGAGCCGACATCGCGCCATTGCACTCCAGCCTGGGCAACGGGCGAAACTCCATCTCAAAATCAAAACAAAACAAAACAAAATTCTCATCACCCTAAAAAGTTCTCTCATGCCCTTTTGAGATTGGGACTACCCCTATACTCCACTTCAGGCAGCGTCGATGTGATTTGTGGCCAGATGGACATTTTAAAACAAATCTCACCATGTGGCTACCTGGCTTTAAAACTTCAATGTTCTCCCATGCCTTCAGGATGAAATTTAGAATCTCTTGCATGACTTTCTTGTTCTTCCTGAGCTGGCCTGACCTCTGCTGACCATTGCTTGCTACTCCACTCTCTGATGCTTCATTTTCCCTCCACATAGAGCTACTTAACAATTTTGTGAATGTGCTAGATTCTTTTACTTCTTCATTCCTTTGCGTATGCATGTTGTTCTCTAAGCCTAGAGTCTTTTCTTTGCCTTCCCATCCCCTCCTGCAACTGGCTAATGTTTGTTTATCTTTTACAACTCAGCTCTACTATTTTCTCTTCCACCTATGTAGGGCAATTACCCTTGTACATACCCTGTAACATCTTGTACTAGTCTTTGTTGTCATCTTTATTATGTTGCATTTTGAGTGTCTGTTTTCTTGTCTTTCTTTCTAAATTGAGTCCATAAGATAATAACTATATCTTTCATCTTTGTGTGTCTTAGTAAATAGAAGCGCCAGATTGTACATCCACATTTCTGCTTTATTTGCTTAACAAATCATAATCATCTTTCCATATTGTTATATGCTATATTATTTTTTGATTTACAATAATTTATTGAATTAATTCAATTTCTGTTGGAATTTGTTTCTAATCTTTCACTGTTATTCTTAATATTACCCTAATGAATGTCTTTGTATTGGGTTCTTATTTTAGATAACTCCTTTTCTTTTTTCCTTTTTTTTTTTTTTGAAATGGAGTCTCACTCTGTTGTCCAGGCTGGAGTGCAGTGGCATGATTTCAGCTCACCGAAACCTCCACCTCTTGGGTTTAAGCGATTCTCCTGCCTCAGCCTCCCAAGTAGCTGGGATTACAGGTGCCTGGCACCACACCTGGCTAAATTTTTTGTATTTTTAGTAGAGACAGGGTTTTACCAATTGGCCAGGCTGGTCTTGAACTCCTGACCTCAGGTGATCCACCTGCCTCAGCCTCCGAAAGTGCTGGGATTACAGGCATGAACCACCGCACCCGGCCAATAACTTCTTAGGAGTAAGTTTTATGTTTTTGTTTTGTCTCTTTTTTTTTGCTCTGTTGCCTGGGAGGCTGGAATACAGTGGTACAATCATAGCTCACTGGAGCCTCAAACTCCTGGGCTCAAGTGATTCTCTCACCTCAGCCTCCTGAGTAACTGGGACTACAGGCACACACCCTACGCCTGGCTAATAATAAAAAAAAAAAATTGTTAGTAGGGACAGGGTCTCGCGTTGTTGCCCAGGCTGGTCTCGAACTCCTGGGCTTAAGTGATCCTCATGCCTTGTCCTCCCAGAGTGCTGGGATTACAGGTGTGAGCCCCTGCACCCAGCCAACAGTGATTTTAACGTCCCAAAGTGGGACACTTCAGTCAAAGAATAAGCATACTTTTTTTTTTTTTTTTTGAAACGGAATGTAGTCTGTCACCCAGGCTGGAGTGCAGTGGCACAATCTCAGCTCACTGTAATATCCACCTCCCGGGTTCAAGTGATTCTCCTGCCTCATCCTCCTGAGTAGCTGGGATTACAGGTGCCTGCCACCATTCCTGGCTCATTTTTTTTGTATTTTTAATAGAGATAGGGTTTCACCATGTTGGCCAGGCTGGTTTTGAACTCCTGACCTCAGGTGATCCACCTGCCTCAGCCTCCCAAAGTGCTAGGATTACAGGCATGAGCCACCACACCTGGCCCAGAATAAGCATACTTTTTAAATGATTCCTGTCACATAGCCAAACAGCTCTCTATAATAGTTGTATAATGGCCGGGTGTGGTGGCTCATGCCTGCAATGCCAGCACTTTGGGAGGCCAAGGCAGGTGGATCACAAGAGGTCAGGAGTTCCAGACCAGCCTGGCCAACATGGTGAAACCCCGTCTCTACTAAAAATATAAAAATCAGCTGGGCTTGGTGGCATGTGCCTGTAATCCTAGTTACAGGTGAGGCTGAGGCAGGAGAATCGCTTGAACCTGGGAGGCAGAGGTTGCAGTGAGCCAAGATTGCACCACTGCACTCCAGCCTGGGTGACAGATCAAGACTCTGTCTCAAGTGCATCACCTGAGGTCAGGAGTTCAAGACCAGCTTGGCCAACATGGTGAACCCTCGCCTCTACTAAAAATACAAAAATTAGCCAGGCACGCGCCAGGTGGTGCGCACCTGTAATCCCAGCTACTAGGGAGACTGAGGCAGGAGAATTGCTTGAACCTGAGAGGTAGAGGTTGCACATAGCGCCACTGCGCTCCAGCCTGGGCAACAAGAGTGAGACTCTGTCTCAAAAAAATATATAAATAAATAAATGAAAAAAAATAATTGTATAACATCTATACTATAGCCTCGTAAGCATTAGCTACTTAATATTTTTGGTATATTTAATAATTTTAATACAGCATTTTTGATTACTAGTGAACATGAATATTTTCCCATATTTGTTAATTATACTTTCCTCTTACAGAAATTCTGTTTGTGTCCTTCACCCATTTATCTGTTTGAGTCAGGTTTTTTTTTTTTAAATTAACTCATTATCCTTAATATAATATAGATATTAACCCTTTCTCATATAAACAATAATTTTAAAAAATGTATCTTTTACTTTCACTATATAGAATGAAGAAAGCAGTTTTTAAAAAATTTATAAGTATACATCTATGAGATCTTAAGATATTTAAAACTTGTCTTGATAGATCTACCCAGACTGAATAGCTTCATCCTATATTGGCATTTTCTTGACAAAGTTTACCATGCCATACTTTAAAAGTTTACCTTTAGGTAATAGCCATTTGTCTTTAACTGTAGCCAGTAGTTACCTCCAGTCAAATAATGTTCCTTCTGTATTAGTCAACTCCATTTTATTATTCAGAAAGTTTATTTTTAAAGTACTGTGTATATATGGGCAAATATATAAATAATGTATATTGTGGGCTCTCCAGGATCTAAAATAGCGTCAATAAAGAAAAAACATCCTAGAATAACAGAGAAGTAAAAAACCAAAACAAAACAAAAAACAAAAAAATAAAACCAAACCAGCCAGACACAGTGAACTAAGAAATGGGAAGTAAGTGTTTGAATCACACTTACAAAGATTAAAATAGAGACTAGGCATGGTGGCTCACACCTGTAATCCCAGCACTTTGGGAGGCTGAAGCGAGAAGATTACTTGAGGCCTGGAGTTCAAGACCAGCCTGGGCAACATAGCAAGACCCCGTCTTTACCAAAGAAAGAATAAAAATAAAATGTATTTGGCAACTGGGTTTCAATATTGAGTAGATAGGACCAATTTGCTAAGAAGTCCTACCATCTCCATCATAGACATTTCTGATGGTAACTGGTGATGCTTTGGGAAAACAAATGGAAGGAGGGCACACAACAGTGGCACTCCTTAGATTACTAGATGTTCATTTAGTTTATTTTGTTGTTTCATAGTACTCATGTTCTCTGTTGGTCTCAGCTTCACCACAGATGACTATTGTCAACCAGATAACTGAAAGGAACAGAAGTGTGGAGGCTATCTAGGATTTCTCTCACTGAAAATTTACTGTTTTTGTGGAGGAGATAGGTCTCTAGAGTAGGAAGATAGTTCTTATTTATTTATTCATTTCTCTCCTTCCTGCACACTGAGCATAGGAAGATAGTTCTTAACCGAGGGTTATAAATCAGAATTATTCATGGAGGGTTTTTTTAAAATTTTGAATTACTGGTGGGACCCCACCTACAGAAGTTCAGTAGATTTGGTATTGGCCTGGGACATTTGAATCTTACGTGGCTACCACCCTAATTTGGAGTATGGAAATTTTAAAACGTTTTCATTACCCCTGTAAGATCACTGCACCAGTTTACAGTTAGTTAATCCTCATTCCTACCCCAGTCCCAGCACTTTCTGTCTATATAGATTTGCCTTTCTGGGCATTTTGTATAAATGAATTATATAATATGTAGTCTTTTGTGTCTATCTTCTTTTCAAAGTTTACCCATGTTGTAGCATGACTCAGTACTTCATTTCTTTTTACTGCTTTTTAAATTTCTTTTTATTTATAACCTGTTACATGAATATACCACATTTTGTTTAACCATTCACCAGTTGTTGGACATTAGGGTTGTTGAATAGTACGGCTATGAATGTTTGTGTGCAAGTCTTTGGATGGACATATGTTTTTATTTTTCTTGGATAGATACCGAGAAATGAAATTGCTGAGCCATATGATAAATTTATGTTTGGCCGGGTGCGGTGGCTCATGCCTGTAATCCCAGCATTTTGGGAGGCTGAGGTGGGTGGATCGCCTGAGGTCAGGAGTTCGAGACCAGCCTGACCAACATAGTGAAACCCCATCTCTACTAAAAATACAAAAAATCAGCTGGGCGTGGTGGCGGGTGCCTGTAATCCCAGTTACTCAGAAGGCTGAGGCAGGAGAATCACTTGAACCTGGGAGGCAGAGGTGGCAGTGAGCTGAGATCGCGCCATTGCAGTCCAGCCTGAGCAACAAGAGTGAAACTCCGTCTCAAAAAAAAAAAAAAAAAATTGTGTTTGACTTTTTGAGAGAAATTGGCAAAGCATTTTCTATAGTGGCACCATTTATTCCCACTAACAATCTAAAAGGGTTTTTCTTTCCTATATCCTTGCCATCATTTGTTTTTGTCTGTCTTATTAATTATAACCATTCCAGTGCATATGAAAATGGTATCTCATTGGGATTTTAATTTGTGTTTCCCTAATGACTAATGATGGTGAGCATCTTTTCATGTGCTTATTGGGCATTTATATATTTTCTTTGGAGAAATATCTATTCTCATCTTTTGGCCATAGTTTTTTTTTTTTTATGATTTGTCTTACCGAGTTTAAGTGTTTTGTATATTCTGAATTCAAGTTCTTTATCAAATATAAGATTTGCCTATGTTTTCTCCCTTTCTGTGGCTTGTCCTCATTTTTTTTGATGGTATGTTTTGAAGCACGAAATTTTGAATGAGTCCAAGGTGTTAACTTTTTTCTTATAAATTGAGAACCAGATTTTAATTTCCACTGATCTATAAAAACATAGTGGTATACTTGTCCACTAAGCTATTTATTCTGTTCTCTAGCCTCCAGGGTCGTATAGACCTCCCCCTCCTATGGGCAAACCACCAGGTTCAATTGTAAGACCCTCTGCTCCACCAGCAAGATCATCTGTTCCTGTGACCAGGCCACCTGTCCCAATACCACCACCTCCACCTCCTCCACCTCTACCTCCTCCTCCTCCAGTGATAAAGCCACAAACTTCAGCTGTAGAACAGGAACGATGGGATGAAGATTCTTTCTATGGGCTCTGGGATACAAATGATGAACAAGGACTGAATTCAGAATTTAAGTCAGAAACTGCAGCAATTCCATCTGCTCCAGTATTACCACCCCCACCTGTTCACTCTTCCATTCCCCCTCCTGGCCCAGTGCCTATGGGTATGCCACCAATGTCCAAGCCACCACCAGTACAACAGACTGTTGATTATGGCCATGGCCGAGGTGAGTAATGATAGTGCACTTGTATTTGGGATTCTACAGGAATTGTTAGCTTCAGCTTTAGCTTTCTCTAGCTTCACTCTTACAGTACTTTATCTCTGATTTTGTTTACCAGATATATCCACTAATAAAGTTGAACAGATACCTTATGGAGAAAGAATAACTCTACGCCCAGATCCACTACCTGAAAGATCAACTTTTGAGACAGGTAGGATTCCCAGAGAGGTCAGTATTTTTAAACATTTTAGGGCCTAATTATCACATGATTTTCCTTTTGGTGAGATTATCTGAGCCTCCATTTAATACAGCTAAAAGATTCTTAGTTGAATTTATGGCAAAAATTTATACCAGCTCTGAAGTTAGATTTATAGTTTTCTGCTTTTATTTCTATAAAAGGGATATAGTTATTTTGTACTAATTGTTTTTGTAGAGCATGCAGGCCAACGTGATCGTTATGATAGAGAAAGAGATCGTGAGCCTTATTTTGATCGTCAAAGTAATGTCATAGCAGATCATCGAGATTTTAAAAGGGATCGTGAGACACATAGAGATCGAGACCGGGATCGTGGTGTTATTGACTATGACCGGGATCGATTTGACAGAGAACGCCGACCCCGAGATGATAGGTATGCTATAAAACAATCTTTGCTAGGTGTACAAATTACTGTATACTTAACAGTAAAAGTTTAAGAGAAATTTAATAAGTAACATATTCTTCTCATGCATGTGTATATGTAATTTGGAGGGGGAAGAACAATTCTGGACCAGTTTTCAGGAAAGTAGGTCCTTGACTTGGTAGCTTGAATTCCAGAGAATTAAATGGGAGATGGAGATAGCCAGAAGGGAATGGAAATGGTATTGTCAATAAAGGTGCAGTCATACTCAGTAGGCAAGCAATTTATTTTTGCAATTCATGAGCTTTTTATTTATTATTATTATTATTATTATTATACCTAAGGGCATTCTGGCAGCCAGCCAAGGAAAAGGGAAAGGGGGGCAAGCCCATGAACTATTTATTTATTTATTCATTACTATTTTGTATGGAGACGGGGTCTCTCTCAGTCTGTCACCCAGGCTGGAATGCAGTGGCGCAGTCTCAGCTCACTGCAGCCTCCACCTCCTGGGCTCAAGTGATCCTCCCACCTCAGTCTCCTGAGTAGCTGGGGCCACAGGCATGTGCCACCATGCCTGGCTAATTTTTTTTTTGTTTTTGATGACGATGTGGTTTCACCATGTTGCCCAGGCTGATCTCAAACTTCTGAGCTCAAGTGATCCACCTGCCTCGGCCTTCCGAAGTGCTGGGATTATAGGCGTGAGCCATCATGCCCAGCTTTCCCATGAACTTCTTAGATGTATGTATATAAAGTAAATCTAAATGAAAAAGCAAAGTCAAAATGTAAATATTGGCCGGGCGTAGTGGCTCACGCCTGTAATCCTAGCACTTTGGGAGGCCAAGGCAGGTGGATCTCTTGAGCTCAGGAGTTCAAGACCAGCCTGGCCAACATGGCGAAACCCCATCTCTACAAAAAATAACAAAAGTTGGCTGGGTGTGGTTATGTGCACCTGTAGTCCCAGCTACTCAGGAGGCTGAGATGGGAGGATTGCTTGAACACTGGAGATCAAGGCTGCAGTGAGCCGAGATCACGCCACTGCATTCCAGCCTGGTTGACAAAGTAAGACCCCAATCTCAAAAAAAAAAAGTAAACATTTACTGTGTGGAGTACCTTCCTATAGAGAAAATTGGGCAGTTAATGCTGTTGCGTTATAAAGCAGAGAACCCCAAATATTTTTTATTTGCTGAAGCGCTTCCTATTACACCTTCTAGAGCTCAGTCATATCGAGACAAAAAAGACCATTCCTCATCCAGAAGAGGGGGTTTTGATAGGCCATCCTATGACCGGAAGTCTGACCGACCAGTCTATGAAGGACCATCCATGTTTGGAGGTAGAGTGATGCCTTATTAACTACAAGGATGTTGAGAATGTAAAGCATGGGAGATGCTTTCCATTGTAGCTATGAATTTAAACTTTTAGAGTAAAACGTATTCACAGATTTCTTAGAGCTGGTGGCATTGTCCTAAAAAATAGCAGTGTAATTAATGAAATAAAGCATGTTTATTTTTAAAACAAAGTAGAATCAAAATTACTGATAGTCTCACTACCTACCATACTACAGCTATTATAATTTTGTAGCTTTCCTCTCATTCGCTCTTTACAGACATATTTATGAAGTTGTAATCAAAGTATAATAATACAATTTCTTTATCGTGATTGTTCTGATTGATATTGCACCATACACATTTTTCATATGTAAACCTATTTTATTAATGGCTCTGTGACATTCCATTGAGTGGATAAAATATAAGACCAAGACCCTTATTCTTAGTTATTTAGGTTGCTTTTAGTTTTTCACTGCTATGATTTACACTTAAACTAGAAACTCATACCTATTTTTAGGAACAGGCTCTCCTAAGATGGTATAACTCTTACTCTTAAAACCATAAAGCAGAAGTTACAGAACTTAGGACTATCCAGCAAAGCATTTATTATTCTTCCATGTCCTGTTGCTTAACTTTCCTACATTTAATACAAACAAGGATGAATTCAGTGTTTTGCAGAACATTCTATTTGCCTGAAATCATACTTAAATCTTCTCATTTTCTTGACTTCAGTAGATTTTACATTACCTTAAATTTTCTCTAATTAAAGTTAAAAGTGGCCCCAAAATCACTGGACTTGGTTTGAATTATATTACCTTAGGATGTGTGGGGAGAGTTGAATTTCAAAATAATTACTCTACAAATAGTAATTTTGTTCAACTGCTGGAATCCTAGGAGAACGAAGGACTTATCCTGAGGAGCGAATGCCTCTGCCAGCTCCTTCACTGAGCCACCAGCCTCCTCCAGCTCCACGAGTCGAGAAGAAGCCTGAATCAAAGAATGTGGACGATATTTTGAAACCACCGGGCCGGGAGAGCAGACCTGAGAGAGTGAGTCCTATGAAGTTGATTCGTCTTCGTGCAAACCAGAAGATAAGAGATCTTGTTAATATCCTGAAAAGAATTTCTTTATTTTTCTGCAACATAGTAATAATATCAGATTCAAGACGTTTTACTATCTCTAAATCACCATATAATCTCATAAATGGCCTACACTATAGAATCTTTAAGAATTTAGCACTAAAGTACTTGGCAAAAAAGATGTTGAATTTTAAAACATATTAATGAGACCTCAATTAATTGCGCGTTGAAGAGAGGAAAAGTGGATTTGGTTTTATGGTGTGTGGAATAGAAAGGGAGAATTAGGAGACTTGATTAGCTTAGGCTTAATTTCCTAGTGACCTCCAAATGTGCGCATTCTATTAAATTTGTCTTATTACAGAATAATTAGACTGACTCCATTTGAATTAACTGGTACTGGAGATTTCAGCCAGATATTTTAATTCCATATATACAGAATTAATAGATTGTTGTTTTAAAGTCTTTTTGCCTACTATTACTATATAGCTACTTGACCTTTCCTGTGGTTGCTGTTTGCATGATAAATCTTTTACCATTTCCTTCCTTTCATTCTATTTGTATCTTTTAATGTAAAGTGTGTCTCCTGTAGTATGCCTATGGTTGGATCTTTTTTTTTTTCCATTCAGGTTCCCTTTATTTCTGACATTTCTTCACCATCCTTGCAAGGGTAACTCCCTAATCACTCTAGAAATTCAGATTCCTGTTTCTGACTCCGTAGGACACAGCGGATCGTGTTTTTTAATGCAGTCTGAAAATCTCTGCCTTTTGATTGGATTGTTTAATACATTCACATTTTTTTTTTAAATTATGGATTCAGGATACATGTGCAGGTTCATTACACAGGTATTTTGTGTAATGCTGGAGTTTGGGCTTCTAAAGAGCCTGTCACCCAAAAAGTGAACATAGTACCCTGTAGTAAAGTTATTATTGATGGCTTAATTTCATTTTTGGATTGTTCCTTGCAAATATATGGAAATATGGTTTATTTTTGTTTATTCGTCTTGTATCCTGCAATACCACTGAATTCATTTATTACTTTTAGTAGGTTTTTAGTTGATTCTTAAGGTTTTCTATGTATAAGATCATGTCATCTGCAAATATACTTTTACTTCTTTCTTTCTGAATTGAATGCCTTTTATTTCTTGCCTAATTGCCCTGGCTAGAACCTCCAATGCAGTGTTGAATAGACATGGCAAGAGTGGACATTCTTGTCTTGTATCTGATTTAGAGAGAAAAAAATACAATCTTTTACCATTAAGAATGATGTTGCTGGGTGTGGTGGCTCACGCCTGTAATCCCAGCACTTTGGGAGGCTGAGATGGGCGGATCATGAGGTCAGGAGATTGAGACCATCCTGGCTAACACGGTGAAACCCCGTCTGTACTAAAAATACAAAAAATTAGCTGGGCGTGGTGGCAGGCACCTGTAGTCCCAGCTACTCAGGAGGCTAAGGCAGGAGAATGGCATGAACCCAGGAGGCGGAGCTTGCAGTGAGCCAAGATCGCGCCACTGCACTCCAGCCTGGGCGACAGAGCGAGACTCCGTCTTTAAAAAAAAGAAGAATGATATTAGCTGTGGAATTTTTTTGTAGATGCACTTCATTAGGTTGAGAAAGTTCCCTTCTATTCCTAGTTTGTTGAATGTTTTTATCATGAGAGGATGTTGGATTTGTTGAATGCTTTTTCTGTGTCAGTTGAGATGATCGTGTGATTTTGGTTTTTAGTCTGTTGATATGATGTGTTACATTAATTGATTTCATATGTTAACTTGCATTCCTGGGATAAATCCCACTTGATCATGGTGTGTAATAATTTTTATATGTTGCTGGATTCAGCTTGCTAATATTTTGTTGAGGATTTTTGCATCCATATTCATAGGAGATATTGTAGTTTTCTTGTCTGTATGTGGTTTGGTGTAATGCTGGCCTCATAAAGTAAGTTAGAAATTATTCCTTCCTATTCTATGTTTTTGAAGACCTTGGGAAGAGTCGGTATTTAAATGTTTGGTGAATTCAGTAATGAAGTCATCCAGGCTTAGGCTTTTCTTTGTGTGTAGTTTTTTAAAATTATTGTCTTAGATTCTTCACTTGTTATAGGTCTATTCAGATTGTTTATTTGTTCTTGAGTAAATTTTAGTAGTCTACATCTTTCCAGGAATTTGTCTGTTTCACCTAAATTATCTAATTTGTTGGCATACAATTGTTCATAGTATTCCTTTGTAATCTTTTTTATAAGGTTGGTAGTAATGTCTCCTCCTTCATTTCTTTTTTACTCGAGGCAGAGTCTCACTATTGCCCAGGCTGGGGTTGCACTCCTGGGCTCAAGTGACCCTCCTGCCTCAGCCTCCTGAGGAACTGGGATTATAGGCACATGCCACTGAGCCCAGCTTTCATTTCTGATTCTGGTAATTTGAATCTTCTTTTTTTTCTATTCAGCCTAGGTAAGAGTTCATCAATTTTGTTGATCTTAGTCAGGCGTGGTGGCTCATGCCTGTCATCCCAGCACTTTGGGAGGCTGAGGTGGGCGGATCACTTGAGGCTAGGAGTTCAAGACCAGCCTGGTCAACACGGTGAAACCCCATCTCTACTAAAAACACAAAAATTAGGCGGGCGTGGTGGCAGGCACCTGTAATCCCAGCTGCTTGGGAGGCTGAGGCATGAGAATCGCTCAAACCTGGGAGGCAGAGGTTGCGATGAGCCAAGATTGCACCACTGCACTCCAGCCTGGGCAACAGAGCAAGACTCCATCTCAAAAAAAAAAAAAAAAGTTGGTCTTTTTAAAGAACCACTGCCACCGTTTGGTTTTATTGACTTTTTCTCTTTTGTTTTTCTGTTTTCTATTTTATTAACTTCTGCTTTAATCTTTATTGTTTCTTTCCTCTGTTTCTTTAGTTTGCTCTTCTTTTTCAAGTGTCTTAAAGTGGATGGTTAAGTTATTGATTTGAGACCTATTTCTTTCCTACTATAGGCATTTATAGCTATCAATTTCCTTTTAAGCACTGCTTTAGCTGTATCCTGTAAGCTTTGGTGTGTTGTGTTTTTTTCATTCATCTCAGAGTATTTTCTGGTTCCTCCTGGTTTCTGGCTCCTCTTGATTTCTGGTTCCTCTTCATTTTTTCTTTGATTCATTGGTTATTTAGGAGTATGTTGTTTAGTTTTCACGTATTTGTGAGTTTCTCTAATTTTTTCTTACTATTAATTTCTAATTTCATTCCACTGTGGTCCAGTGACATACTTTATATTATTTCTGTCCTTTCAAATTTATGAAGGTTTGTTTCATGGCCTGTTGTATAGTCTATCCTGGAAAATGGTAGGTCATTGTTAACTGTTATCTCATTGCAGAAAATTTTCTCTCAGTGATTTTTTTTTTTTTTTGGTCTATTCTGTTTCAGATTGTTGTTATAATGAGAGGATTACCTGGCAGTGGAAAGACACATGTTGCAAAACTTATTCGAGTGAGTATGGGGAAGCTGAAAAATCAGCTGCTTGTGCTGCTTGTGTTAGTAGTCACTTGCCTTCTTATTAATAGCAAGCAACATAATGCCAATAGAATTGTCTTCCATTTGATCCATTACAGTTGGCCCATGTGGTAGATGTTGTCCCATATATATTTTTATCTACTCAGAGAAACATTTTTGCCTCTGCTTGATTTGAAACCACCAGAAGATTGTATATTATTTAGCCACAAGAGGGAACTTTGGTGTGAACATTAATTTATTCCATAAATTCGTTTTAACCTTCTTGACTGTATGATTCTTAGGATAAGGAGGTAGAATTTGGAGGACCTGCACCCAGAGTTCTAAGCCTGGATGATTACTTCATCACTGAAGTGGAAAAAGAAGAAAAAGATCCAGATTCTGGAAAGAAAGTGAAAAAGAAGGTATGGTATTCATCTCAGATCTCGTTCTGATTCATTAATAGTATTTAAAGGAAAATGTGTTTGGAGAGAAATGTGGCTTTTTTGAGGGCAGGGACCTCTCTCTTTTCCGAACACAGTACTTTAGTACTTGGGTGTGAAGGAAAGACTACAAAGTCATCTCTATCCAAATACTAACCAAGGAAAAGGTTTTGGATGATTCTTTGCTTTTGCTAATTCCATATCTCTTTTGGGGGACCTTAGGTAATGGAATATGAATATGAAGCTGAGATGGAGGAGACTTACCGCACCAGCATGTTCAAAACTTTCAAAAAGACTCTGGATGATGGCTTTTTTCCCTTCATCATCCTGGATGCCATCAATGACAGAGTTAGGCATTTTGACCAGTTTTGGAGTGCAGCAAAAACCAAGGGATTTGAGGTAGAAGCTTAAAGAACTTTAAAGTACTTTGTGTTGTCATGTAAATGTTATATATCTTTGCCTAATTATTATTCATTCTTGCTTAGGTATATTTGGCTGAAATGAGTGCAGATAACCAGACTTGTGGCAAGAGAAATATTCATGGAAGAAAGCTTAAAGAAATAAATAAGGTGATTTTAAGAAACATAGAATAATAGAGTACTATCATGCGCTGCATAATGATGTTTTGGTTAAGGAAGGACTGCATATATGGTGGTCCCATAAGATTATAATGTATTTTTATTGTACCTTTTCTGTGTTTAGATATGTTTAAGTACACAAATACTTCATTGTGTTGCAGTTGCCTACAGTATTCAGTACATTAACATGCTGTACAAGTTTGTAACCTAGATGTGCAGTAGGCTTTATCATCTAGGTTTGTGTAAGTATACTCCATGATGTTCACACAATGACAAAATTGCCTAATGACCCATTCCTCATAATATATGCCCATTGCTAAGTGATGTGTGACTGTACTCTAAACCTCATATTATCTGTATCAGCACTCTTGTCTGGAAGCTCTTGTTTATCTCCTTTTTTTTTCATAATAACTTTCCTATCTGCTTTAGTAAATGTTTCTCTTCCTTTGTTTCTTTTCCTAGCTCTTCTTGAAATTAGCCTGTTATGGCCTGGCATGGTGGCTTAGGCCTGTAATCCCAGCACTTTGGGAGGCTGAGGTGGGCGGATCGCTTGAGCCTGGGAGTTTGAGACCAACCTGGGCAACATGGCGAAACCCTGTCTCTACAAAAAAATACAAAAATTAGCTGGGCATGGTGTCATGTGCCTGTGGTCCCAGCTACTGGGGAGGCTGAAGTGGGAAGATCACTTGAGCCCACCATGTCAAGGCTGCAGTGAGCCATGTTGGCGCCACTACACTCCAGCCTGGGTGACAGACCGAGATTCTGTCTCAAAAAAAAAAAGAAATTAGCCCATTAGACTTTACAATATTAAATTAATATTTAACAAATATTTAATTAATATTTAACAATATTTTAAAATATTGTTAAATGTTGTTTATCTTGGATGCTTACTTGGTCTTTGAGTAGTTTCTAGAGATAACTCAACCATCTGAATTTTTCAATAGATGGCTGATCACTGGGAAACTGCACCTCGTCACATGATGCGTCTAGATATTCGTTCTTTGCTGCAAGATGCTGCTATTGAAGAGGTGAGTATCCTTTGGTTCAAATGCAATGCAAAGTGATGTTACTTTTTCACCTTTTTACTTTGAAAAACTTAAAACCTACAGAAAAGTTATATGAATAGTATTCATACAAGAACACCTACTGATATGCCTTTCATTGAGATCACGGTTAGTATTTTGCCACATTTTTCTCTGAATGCATGTATTCTTATTAACATTCTTGTTAATGATGTCACTGTTTTTGTGGAACCATTTGAGAGTTAAGTTGCAGATCTTATAAACCTTCACCCTTAAATACATCAGTAGGTATCTTGTAAGAACAAGTACATTCTCTTTTGATTTGATGACAGTTATCAAATGCAGGAAATTTAGTATTGATAAAATACTATATTAAGTAATATAAATTTCCTGAATTAAATTTCTTGAATTATCTCACATATAGTTTATATTCACATTTTACCAGTTGTCCCTATAACGTGGTATATAGAAATTTTCAAAAATCTAAGATTCAATCCTTTAATATAAAATATAGTTTCTCAGCCTTGTCATTGTCATGAAAGATAAAGAATTTATGAAGAGTATAGGCCTGTTTTGTAGAATGCCCCTCAATTTGAATTTGTCTGTTTGTTTCCACATGCTTAGGTTCAGGTTAAACATTAGCGGGAATGCTACATAAGTGATACTGTGCCCTCTCAGTGTGTCACATCAGGAGCCATATGGTGTTAATTTATCTCATTATTGGTGATTTAAGCACTGATTACTTGGTTAAGGTGATATCCATCAAATTTTTCTACCTTTTTCTCTTTGTGATAAGTAATCTGTAGGGAGATACTCTTAATATCTTTTCCCCAACAAATTTTCATTCACTGGTAATTCTTGCCTGAATTAATTATTTATTTGATGGAAGGAAAAATTTTCTATTTTTTACCAGTTGTAGGTTTCTGTTTGTTTGACCTCTTCCATACTCAATATTGTCATTGTGCTTTTTTTTTTTTTTTTTTTGAGGTGGAGTCTCACTCTGTCACCTAGATTGTAGTGCAGTGGTGTAATCTCGGCTCACTGCAACCTCCGCCTCCAGGGTTCAGGCGATTCTCCTGCCTCAGCCTCCTTATTAGCTGGAACTACAGGCATGCGCCACCATGCCTGGCTAATTTTTGTATTTTTAGTAGAGATGGAGTTTCACCATGTTGGCCAGGCTGGTCTTGAACTCCTGGCCTCAAGTAATCTGCCCACCTCAGCCTCCGAAAGTGCTGGGATTACAGACGTGAGCCACCATGCCCAACCGTCATTGTTCTTTTATGTGTTTTTAATTCCCATGCCATTTCTCAACCCATTTTTTTCTGGCTTCTGCCACTACCATTGTCTGGCAACTCTTTCACTAATGATTTCCGTGGCAGTGGACAGTTCTCATTTCCTCTATTGATTAATTTTGTAGCCACATGTAATATAGTTGACCATGCCCACCTTCTTAAAAAACATATTTTTCTCTTGGCTTTTGTGAATTCACATTTTTCTGGTTTTCCTTTTACTTTTTTGGCTATCTCTTTTCAGTCTCCTTCACTGGCTTCTCCTGCTTCTCACTCTTTAAAAGGGCCCCCTTAGGGCTCCATCCTAGGCTCTGTTTTTATTTTGTACCCTCTGTATAGATCATCTGAATCTTTCCGGTAGCTTAGATTGTCACTTACGTGCCATTAATGTTATAAAGTCTAGATTGAATTATATTACTATCTAAATAGTAGTGTTTCTGAATGGAGGGAGTATAGGTGATTTTTATAATCTTCTTTTTACTATTATTTTCCAAATTCTCTACAAAAAATATATATTATCTTAGTATACCTCAAACTCAACCTATCCAAAATATTGTTCGTCCAAACCTGTTTTTCATTTAGTAGTCTCTGTTTTAGTAATTAGAACCCTAACCACTTGATTGCTGAAACCGGTGCTCTGGGAGTTATCCCTGACTCTTTTGTCATTGTTGAGACAGAGTCTGACTCTATTGCCCTGGCTGGAGTGCGGTGGCATGATCATAGCTCATTGCTGCCTCACCTCCTGGGTTCAAATGATCCTCTCACCTCAGCCTCCTGAGTAGCTGAGACTACAGGCGCATGCCCTGTGCCCAGCTAATTTTTTATTTTTTTTTAGAGATGGGGTCTCACTATGTTGCCCAGGCTGGTCTTGAACTCCTAGACTCAAGCGATCCTCCTGCCCCAACCTCACAAAGTGCTGGGATTATAGGCGTGAGCCACTGTGCCCAGGCCTGACTCTTTACTCTGCCCTTGTGACCTGTCATGTAGTCAAGAAAGTTTAGTCAGTTGTACCTTTTAATGACCTCTGTAACTCATCTGCTTATTTGCGTTGCTACCACTCTGGGCCAAGCCAATATCATCCCACTTTTCACTATACTTTTTCTTATATTTTGAAATTTGAATCATTGACATGTTTTTACCTGATTGGAAAAATACTCGTTAAAGATTTTTAAAAGTCTAGTAATCCATAGGCATTCAAAATAGGTAACCATCTACTTAGCACTTATACTTAACTTTACAGGGAATTGTACAGATGGATATTCAAGGAAAATTAAAGGCAGTAGTATCCTGTCTTTTATCAGTTCTGTTTCAAAATTTAGGGTGTTAAAAATTACTTGGTATGTAACAGTGAGCCTGTCTTGCTCTGGGCAACTGTATTCATTCCAGATCTCAATGAGGGAGTCAATATTTTGCTAAATGTTAACTCAGTCTTTTTTTTTTTTTTTAATGGTTGGTATAGGTAGAGATGGAAGATTTTGATGCAAATATCGAAGAACAGAAAGAAGAAAAGAAAGATGCAGAGGAAGAGGAAAGCGAACTGGTAGGAGACAGACCAACCACTTTGAACAGTGTCTCTTTATTAAAATTCTTAAAGAAGGTTTAAATTCAGATCTGTGGTTAGACAACTACTGTTGATATACACTTTAGTGGTAAAAGTTTCCATAATCATCTTCAAGGAGACTTTTGGATACTCTTTATTTTTCCCCAGACCAAAAGAACCCTCTAATGTGGTGTTAAGAGAAAGTTTTAACAGAGTGCTAAGAAACTTACCCTTGTACTCATCTATTTGTGGGTGGTTTTAGGGGAGTATACCTTTTAAGAAAATCAATTACATATGAAAGGGCATTCTTACATTCCAGCAGATATGTGGCACAGCCTACCCAACATATGCATAATTGTCTCTTCTTTGCTACAAGATCTCCAAATTTGAGTTTCTGTCAACAGAGGCAGAAGAACTTATTGAATGGGGAGGCAGAGGGTTGCCACTGGCTGCTAGATTTGTTCTTCTGCATTTTATCCTAAGTGACGGGGAAAAATTAAATGACTGTGTAGGCAATGGATTTTGCTCAGGCTGATTAGAGGCTTACATAGTGTGAGTTTAAAGTTTCTGTGTACCTAATGTAAAATGCTTTCGATCACACCTCTGTAGAGATGTTTGCCTTTCCCTGTCATTCAAGAATATGCGACCTATAGAGTTACGTTGACTTTTCAGTGTTTACTGAAGTACAGAGATTAGCAATGCCTTGGAATAGTGTTGCTTTTTAAATCCAGAATATTACTCGGTTTATTTAATACTTGAGCCCTTGCTAAAGTTGCTCCTCATATTCTTTTGAAAATGTACAAAATGAGAACTCTGATTCCTACCCCCTAGAGTATACAGAATCTCCAGGGAGTGGTCCCATCGAACCCGTGTGTGATATAGAGGACTCTTGATAAAAACTGTGTTTATATAAAGATGGTGTCAACCTCTACATTCCAAGATTTCAAATGTGGATTAAAAAATAAGTTTTAAAGTTAATGGCATTTGAGTCTCAGTATGTGTTTTTTTTAAATCTAGTTTTCTTAAGTTGTATTTTGGCATATATAATTTAAAATGTAGGCAGGATATTCACTACAAGGTCCACGCTCTTCTGGAATATGGCTAATGACTTCTTTAGCCATTTGCAGCGTGTGTACTAGAAACTGATTACGTGAGAAGTCTATAATGTTTTAGCTTTCTGAAGCTCCGTCTTTCTTTTGTGGAGATTTCAGTGGTTCATAACATCTGACTTGCTTAGGTGTAGGTCAAAACTTGGGAACTTTTAATTGAATGTACTATTACTTTTTAAAGTGAAACACACTGTAATACTATATTTTTACATCAGAGTCATGGCAAGGAGGCCTTAAAATTCTACCCTGCTGGATTATCTGTTTTATTTCCAAGTGGCCTACAATTTCAAGCAATGGGAGAGTAATATAGTTTAAAGGAAGCACAGGATGATTCCAGCAGGGGGAAATGAATACACTTGTCTGCCTGACTTGATTATAAAACTTCTCTTAACCCATTCAAAGATGCAGAATTGAAATCTTTTACTATTGGAGTCCATTCCAAGAGTAAAAGATTCTTGGAGAATATGTTAACCAAGGGTTAAGAGCAAGTTTCATACCAACCACTCAGATCATTTAAATGGAATTCTCAGTAAACCTTGCATTTTCCACTCTGCACTAATTAATATAGCTGGATGAAATCCAAAGTTTTGTTGGTAAAGATAATCGTTTGTAGGGGATCATTGGTATGATAGTTTGCCTCCTTTAGTGCTTCAGTGAACCTAGTAGATAAAATTTATAAATATATTATTCCAGTGATGCTTAAAGTTTTCAGATGATTTTTAAGATGTAACTTGTCTTCAGTACTTTTAGCACTATCACTTCAGTATAGCTTTGTCTTGGTTTGTTCTAAAAAATGTATTTGGGAAATATATAATTTGTAATCCAAAATACTACCTAGTAAGTTGAAATTGAATTATTAGTTCTGGCTGGTAGACTAGAAATGTATGAAACCCATAGGATTATGCTCTAGTAAACTCTTACACAGAAGCTATCATCATGAAATCTTCAAAATGCTTTGTGACTTACTTTACCTGTGTGTCAGTTTGTTTCATGAACTTGAACATTCCCAACAGTAGAGAGATAGATTGATTCATAAAAGAGGATACTGACACCTTTGATGAATCTGTCCTATTTACTAGGTTCCAATATTAACATTTCTGTATGTTAGGTCTAATGGAAAACAGTCTAAATGAAGGTAAAGGGGAATAATGATAAATCACATGGTAAAAGCATATACTTGCTAGGTGAATAAACAGAAATGATTACTGCATAGTTCAATAGGCACACTGGGAAATTTGAAAATCTTTTGGGAGTGACTTTGAAATAAGCCACCCAGTTATTTTATGAAATATAAGATGTAAGTTGCCAGTGGAGATTTCTGGTTTTTCATGTAAGAGGAAAACATAATTTTAAAAAACATCAGAAATAATAATCTAGTTTTCAACTGATAAAAATGTTCTGAATTTGATTCAGTAAAATTAGCCGTTGTATGCTCTAACTGGTAAATGAATTGAGTCATTTTAAAATGAAGTTGAACTTCCTAATCGGGTAATTGGGTTAAGTGCCACCAATTCTTTTCCTTTCTTTTGAGTACTTAAGATTACTGAAATATAAAGTAACTATCTTGAAGAACACTTTTTGCATCTTATAGCTACTATCACTTGAGAATAGCAGTTGTATTTAGAAGATAACCTAGCTAGTATTACAAATTCTCTGATACTCTGAGTAATATTAATATTAGCACAGTAACTACCTGTACATTCTTATCATATTTGCTATACAGCTGTTGTTCAGACTACAATTGTGAGTCCTGAACTGTAGCTGCCTCAAAGCGCCTTCATGATACTATTCTGAAGTGACTACTCTGAAATGTGGACAGTGAAGTTTGGTGAATTTGGTCATTTAGTTTCTTCAAAGATAATGAGATTGTGTTTCCCCTAAGGATGTATTTACAGCTAGTCAGTGGAAACTGAATCCATTCCCAGTTTTAATGCTTTTCCAGTTCAAACGTGATATGCATGTATGTGTCTCTTTCTAACCCTTCGAGCTTCTCTCTGTGTACGATTTAGGGTTACATTCCGAAAAGCAAATGGGAGATGGACACATCTGAGGCAAAGCTAGGTGGGTATTTCCTTTTTCCTGTTTTTATATGTGATACCTGATGGTAATGGTCATAGATCTTTCTGCTATAAGAGGAACAAATTTCCTAAAACTTCTACTTGAACAGAGATTTCTGGCCTACCTTATATCCTCCAATCTATTTTGCTAGTTTTTATATCTTGTAACAAAGTGATAAGTATTTTAAAAGAACTGCTTTCAATACTATTTAAAGTTTTTAGAGTCAACAGAAATATTTGATAATTTAGCAACAAAATATTGTCACTTATAAAATCTATTCTTTTATATTAATCAGAAATGTTGGTGCTGATGAGATTTCTTTTTTAAAGAATATTTAAATGCAGTCCAAAGTTAAACCTGATTATGAATACTTTAGATAATAAAAATAATATAAAGTTTAAAATTAATTAAAAGGCATTTATTCTCCTTGTATAATAAATGAGAGTTTCTGAGTAGAGAGGAGTAGATATATAATTCAGGTTTTTGAGGAGCCTGCTTTATAAGATTCAGTTTAAATTTTTCTTCAAATTGTTAATGCCAAATTCCAAGGTAAACCAGTTTAAATGATTGTCTAAATCAGAATTTGGAGTTGCTTAATGTGAAGTTATCTGTCAAACAAAAAAGTCATACATATCCAATGGATTCCCTCTATTATTTGTTGGTGAAAACTGCAAAATATTTTTTCAGTTTTACTTCGCTTAAAGAGAACCATTTAACATGTTGATTAAGATGTATTAATAAAAATCTAAAACAATGTGCTAAGGACTTTTTGAGATCAGCCTTACTGATGTATGAAGTATGACTGTCAGTTTATGTTTCTTTTCCTGGTATTATACTCCAAAACTAAAGGAACCATCTAAGTATCTTAAATTGATACAGGAAGTTTGAGTCACTGAGCTGCTTCATTGCTTGGGACATGTGTTTCTGACATCAGAGGAGTGCATTTTACATGCAATTACATAAGTTGTGCCTTTAATTTGCCCCAACTACTTGTGTTAGTAGTTGGTATTGACTAGGTTCTGTGTTAAAAGACAGTTCCACGGACTTTATTATTACATTACTGGTATAGGTGCTTTGTTGTCAAGTCTAAAAGATTTTTTTTAGTTTATGTCATGTGAAAATTATATGTGGTTTTTGACATATTCTTCTAGTAGTCTTCCCTCTGTGGGAAATCTTAATAATAACCAATTGTCATCTTCCAGAGACCCTTAAAGCACTTATGTGTTTAAATGCAATTAAATATGTAGGAAAATAAAAATTACAAAATACTTTTAAAATAATAATAATGCTTTAGTTCTGCTTATTTCGACGTTAGATTAACTCTCTGTGAAGTTCTGTACATTAGAATGACCCATAATATGCCAAGATCATTTCTCTCTTCTGGTTCTCTTAAATATTGATTATCCTTTAGGGCAAAGAGAGATCATAAATAAAGATAGTTAAGGGGAATGTAAAAGTGATAAATATTAACTTGTAATCTCTAGAGGCCTCATGTAATACATGATCTGGGGTAATGCTGTTTTAAACTCAAGCCAGTCCATCTTTTACTTTTCTTTCTGTTTTTAAAAGGAAAAGGGAATTTAGTTGTGATGATTATTCAAGAATATATATTAATATTGGTATTTCTTGGAATTTCTGGAAAACATTCTGGCCCGTCTACCATTTGCTTCTCAGAAAAAAACATTTTATACAAATTTTCAGTTTTAAAGACAGAATAGTAGACAATGAATTCCAGAAATGGATTTTTAAAACAAACCATTTCAGTGAAAGGCACTGAAGATCTGGTAATAAATCTAGGAAATAAATTTTAACATATTTACAGTCGGGTTTTTATTTTTTAACAAGAGTGATAGTGATGTTGTATATAAGGACTTGTATCTTGCACCACTGTATTGAGAGCTAATCCCACCACAGAGGAAGGCAAATTTAGTGTGCATTCTTGAAAGTGCTTAGTACTTTGAGGTTGGTCCATTGAGCCAACTGAGAAGATTCTTCTCTAAAACATGAGGATCTTGTGTCGGATCTTGTAGCCTATTTATGTTGCCTTCCTTATCATAACAAATTTAATATAATTTGATTACCAAGTACAATTTATTTTTCTGAGTACTTTACCAACATTCTCCAATTACTCTTGGAAAATGATTATACTGGGTGGAAATGTATTAAGTTTTAGCAGTGTCACATGTTGAGCAAAAACAGTTGAATCTGAAACAGAGGAATTTTGATTCACAAATGAGTCTGCCAGTGAGAACATACTTACCTATAGTCTTTGAAGCAGCTGGTTAGAGCTTATTGCAGATTCTTGGTCTATGCTCATTAAGTTTAGTACACAGTTCAGCCTGTGCCTGAATGTTAAATTGGAAGTGATGTGATTTTTAGAACAGTTCAGAACAGGCCTGAGCTACCTCTGGCATGGAGTTGTTGAAGGCTGCCTGTGGCCCACCTTCAGTCCCACCAGACTGGTTCTTCCCTGCTGGGACACAGGCATCATAATGCAAGGGCAGGTTGTTACTTGCCACATCAGGTGGTGGGATTCAGCATTGAAGCTACTTAAACTCCAGTGACATGATTTTAGTTTCTCATACTGTGAAGCTAGAATATTTGAGACTGTTACCATCCTAATTTAGGTTTCTTCATATAAAGTACTTTTGCTTTTCTCATCTCAGTGTCATTTGTCTCTACTCTTGAGTTGTATATTGGTTTTCTACATGTCAGACAGATTCATCTCTTCAGAGTTGGAATATAATTATTATTTGTATAGGTGCATAATCTTGTATGTTTACGTTGAACAGATTTTCAGAAATACCATTTACATTTAGAAAATACATAGATGTATCTAAGGAATTTTTCTGTTGTGCTATAATACATACTGTTTCAAATATGTGGTAAAATTCTGTGACCTGCCATATTGGATTTAAAACTTCATCTTCATCTTAAAACTTCATCTTTTGAAATCTCTGAAAATCATTAGTGTGCATGTATTGAACACCAGTCTTTATTCTGTAATTAACACCCCAGATTTCTTTCCCCTCACCTTATGCCATCCATCTGTGTGTTTGGTTTCCAGTATGCCATGTGGAAGAGGTGTGAGCCTTTCTTCAGCCCAAGAAGGAAACTTTAAACATATTTGCACAATAAAATTTCAAATTAAACATTTCAAAAAGGGTGCTCAGACTAGAAATACATGCTCTTCTGAAATTCCATGTTGCAACTGTAACTCCTGTCATATATACCCAGTGTATGAGGAAAAGTTCTTGCAGTTTTCACACTGCCCTTCTGTATTGCTGCCTGGCTGTGCTCTGTTGTTGGAACTGAAATATGAAATTTTTACTTTGAAGTATGTTAATGTCAAAGTTGATCGTATTAAGTTTGGAAATCCTTTGAGGTTTATCTAATAAGTGTGTTGGAGCTTCTGTCTCTTCTGGTAATACTGTACCCTGTTGAACCAAGAACAGTTTTATTGTTTGTGGGACTTCGTTGGTTTTCTAATACCATAACCTGTGTCCCTGTGCAGTCAGGGGGTCACTTCTTTAAGATCATGTATAATACGGCCCGTCATATACACGTAGATAGAGCCATGTGATTCCAGAAATTAGAAGACTGGATCTGTGGAATCCATACATGTTAAAATTTTGCCAAAATGAGATGATTAAAATTTTTGTGAGTTTTATAAACTGTTGCAGTTCGCCTTACTGATTTTTCAATGATAATCACTTTTATGGGAAGGGGGCTTAGGAACAAAAAACTTTGCCAAGAATGCAAAATCTTACTGGTTTTTAAAGCTTGTAACAGTTGTGTGTAAAACTTTTATATTTGAAACGTAAACTCACCCTTTCTGCCACTGCTTTCATTGCACTTTTCATACCAAGTTCTCTCCAACGTGGTGTCTGAAAGATTTTTATTATATACACTCTTTATGGAATTCAATGAAGTGTGGTTATGCTGTGTTTCTGAAGTTTTTAGGCTTTTCTTCATTGGCCTGCCTAATACTAGTGTGTTTCTATAACTTCAGATGATTCAAAAGTTTAGTGCTTCATTGTAGCAAAAAATGTATATAACTCATAATATCCTACATGTAGTATTCAAAATCAATTATTAATAACCAATAAAAGACTCAACACATTTTCATTGCGTGTTCTTCTTTAAGACACCTAAACTCATATCTCATAATTTCTGAATCCGCAATCCCTATTCATTAATTGATTACAGTTTTTGAGTTGTTGGAAAGCCTAGCCCTCTCAGATTCAGGGTTCAGAAAGAATTACCAGGTCTGGTAAAATTGTCTGACTAGCCCTTAGCCTCAGAATGGTCAACTTCATAGTATAAGCAAAGAAAGTGGTGATCTCATATAGTCAGCTTTTTCATGAACATTAATTCATGGTGAATGCACTCACAGCAACCAAAATCCAAAAAAAAAAAATGTTCATCTAAAACCTTAAACATTAGCTTGGCTCATTGAGTTCTTGGTACAACCTGCTTTTCATATGACACAGTATCAAACATGATTTCAGATGAAATGGGTGGTGTTAATATTGTGTTAAAGAAAAAAAGAATGGAAGACACTGTCTAGAAAAGCCCAACTTTGCATTTGCCATCAGAAAATGAGAACTGTGGTGGGTGGGAGGACAAGGAGGCCAGGAGCCAAGTGCCTTTTCTTGCCTTGCCCATATTTGCTCTTAAACCAACATCGTAAACATAATGGCTACCAGTGTGAATACCAAACAATGGAAATTGCACAGAACTTGATATTATCTCAGCCAAGAAGATAGTTTGGATCTGCAAGTGATGCTGCACTCAAAAATGTGGATATGCCCTCTGAAAGCGTTCCAGCCTTCTTTTCCCCTGTGTGTGTGTCGTGTGCAAACTCACACTCTTCCTTAATGCTACGGCTCTGTGTTTGTCCCTCAGACAAGTTGGATGGCTTGAGGACTGGTACTAAAAGGAAACGTGACTGGGAGGCCATTGCCAGCAGAATGGAGGATTATCTTCAGCTCCCCGATGATTATGATACTCGTGCTTCTGAGCCTGGGAAGAAGAGGGTAAGAGACTTTGTCAATAACTGCCAACAAATGAAGGGCCCATTTAGGCATCTGGTTTTAGGAAGTTACAGGCAGATGATCACATGGATGCTATTTTTAGAATGATTTAGTTTACGCTATGTCATGTATCCCAAGAAGGAGTCATACCTTATAAATTATCTCATCAAAATGTACAAGTAGCTTAAAAAATTGGAGAACAGAACCTCACATGGCTAGCACGTTGTCAACCTTAAAGGCATTGGGAGTGGCCAGTCACTTGTGCTATTTTGTCATGGGGCAAAAAAAGCCAGGTACAGAGTAGGGTATTGAAGAGAACCTGTGGAACTTCTTAATGGATGGGATGTGGAGGGTCCAAAGGTAGATCAAGGGTGACCCCTTGGTACTCTGGCCATGAGCACTGCATGTGTGTAGTACCATTTAGTGAGAGAGAAAACTGGGGGAGTCATAGGTCATAATTTTTGGAACTGAGAGAAATGATTTAAGTTCTGTGAGAGAAATTCTAATTTTTCTTCTAATTAAGTTAGAAATATAAGTGAAAATGTCAAAATGACTGTTGGATTTATTAGTATAAAACTCACCAGAGAGATCAGACTGAACTAACAAATTTCAGGAAATGGTATTTAAAACCGTGGGACTGAATGATCTTGCCCAAGGAAAAAGTATAAATGGAAAAGGTAATAGGACGCCAGACCTCCAAAATTTAGTTCAGATAGAGGTGTTTCAAGAAGGAAAGAGTATAGTCAGTTTTTAAATGATGCAGAAAAGACAAGTAAGTTTGGAACAGATAAATGGCTGCTAGATGTTGGCAACATGGAGGTCACTGATGATTGTAGTTTGTCATCAGTCTACAGTGATGAGGCAGCAGAAACCAGTTTGGAGCAGATTAAAGAATGAATAAGAAATGATGAAGTACAGTACAGCATATATAGGCAACTTTTTGAAGTTTTGCTGTGAAAGGGAATAGAGAAATGAAGCTAGGATATTAGATAGGTCTTTACATAAATGTTGAATTCGATAGTGATAGATGTGTATATCCTTTAAAACAAAATAAAGCAAAGGGATCGTATTATATATACTGTTGTGTAGAAGTCTTTTTCAGCTAATCCATCTTGATCTTTCTATATAAGCATATACAGAACTACCATTCTTTTTAAAGGGCTACTTGGTGTCCCATTGTTTGGTTGTACAATCAGTTATTTAACTAGTCCCTTTGTGTTAGTCCGTTTGCGTTGCTATAAAGGAATACGTGAGATTGGGTAATTCATGAAGATAAAAGGTTTATTTTGGCTCACTGTCCTGCAGGCTGTACAAGAAGCATGGTGCTAGCATCAGCTCCTGGTGAGGCCTCAGAAAGTCTTCAATTATGGTGGAAGACAAGGGGGGAGCCAGCATGTGACGTGGCGAGAGAGGAACCAAGGGGAGGGGGTCCCAACTCCTTTTAACAACCAGATCTCACATGAACTCAGAGTGTGAACTCGCTCATTACCGTCAGGAGGGCACCAAGACATTCACGAGGATCCTCCTCCATGACCCAAACACCTTCAGTATCGGGGATTACAATTCAACATGAGATTTGAAGGGGACAAACATCCAAACCATAATGTCTTTACTGATGGATGCTTACAGTGTTTCCATTTATTGCCAGTACAGATGTGAAGGTTGTGGTGTGTATGTCTCTCTTTACACGCTTACATGCAAATAATTGCCTGTTTTTCTACAGCAGTGCTGTAATCAAACTCTTTAACTTTTGACAATCTGATAGGTGAAAAAAATAGTATCTCATTTTTCATTTATTTACTAAGAATGAGGTTGTGCATCATTTATCTTTATGCATCATTTCTTTGTATTTCTTTCTTAACGAATTTTCTCAGTGCCTTAATGTGCTTAGTGTACTTAGTAATGGGCACCATTACAAAGAATCCAGGTTTCAAAGCTTTTTAAAATACTGCAGATACTCCAAAGCCTGCCCTTGTCTGTGTAGCTTCAAAGGATGGGTAAGGGAGAGCCCACTGCCATTTGCACCCAGCCTCACCAAAGGACTGCTTATAGTGATACCTCTTACTCCAGTTTTAAGGCTGGAGCCAACAGAGGCAGAAGTGGCCCTTCCTTGCAAATAATAAAGTGTAGTTCTGGTAACAATTAGTAATCTAAAATGAGAAATATTTTCTCTGTTTTTACTCAGGTAACTATCACTGTCTTCACTGAGGAGTATGTAATCCCATGCAGTTTATTTTATTAGGTTGGGTGACCAAAGAGAACTGAGTGGTGCACATTCTAGTTCTTTAAAGTTGCTCCTCTTTAAGTCTCCTCCCCTGCCTTATACCTTGACTTCAGATAGTTTTTAACTCTTGAACCACTCACCAAAACCAACATTAGAGCACAGGAGATCCTACAGGTAGCAAAGAATACAGAATGCTGTACATTACTCATTCCTTCTTGGGTTTCTTTGTTTCTGTGATTCAGCTTGTTACAGATATCAGATGGGTTCTTGGGATTAACTTCCTCTATAACAAAAACGTGGTTCTGTAGAGTTGGTTATATTAGAATTTTGCCTAAATGGCTAGGCTTTAAAATATAATTTACTTTTAAAATATTTGCTTGCTTGGGTATAAAATGGTAGCTTACTTGGACTTTAATTTGTATTTCTTTGATGACTATGGAAGGTGAACCTTTCCCTTGTTTGTTTGCTGAATTTGTATATTTTAGAAATACTTATAGTTACAGTGGATGAAATATAAGTACCTCAAACCTTTGAGGGCTAGTTAAGATTTTTCTGTATTATAACAAATTTATTTTTACAGGAAAAAACAACAGCAAAAATGTCGTAAGTCTCAAAAGTACCTCTAGGAAAATTAAAAGGGACACTGATATTCAAGAAGCCATTTCAAGCTGAAAGTCATTATTCTGCTCCTTGTATGTTTAGTGGTTCGGTAATCATTTATTCATTCCATATGTTGAATGTCTTTGTACGAAGTCTATGAATGAGTCCTCTTAAGGAGCTGACATCCAGTGGAGGAATTCAACATGTAAATAAATAATTTTACTATAGCATCAGTATAAATTAGAGATATTAACAAAATACAATAGTTTCCAAAATATTTTAATTCCAACTTCATTTGTTTTTTGTTTTTTTGTTTTTTATTTTTGAGACAGAGTCTCACTCTGTTGCCCAGCCTGGAGTGCAGTGGTGATTTTGGCTCACTGCAACCTCTGCCTCCCAGGTTCAAGCCATTCTCATGCCTCAGCCTCCTGAGTAGCTGGGATTACAGGCACCCACCACCACGTCCGGCTAATTTTGTTTGTATTTTTAGTAGAGACGGGGTTTCGCCATGTTGGCCAGGCTGGTCTCAAACTCCTGACCTCAGGTGATCTGTCTGCTGCAGCCTCCCAAAGTGCTGGGATTACAGGCGTGAGCCACTGTGCCTGGCCTAATTCCAATGTTAAAATCTTGAACATTTATTCGCAAACATACTACTCATTTCAAAAACACCTACACATTTTTTCTTCTAATCCTATATTCTTTATTTTATCTGAGTTTAAAACTTAGAATTTAAACTGTAGATTTAAAAGTAGCAAGGTGAGATTGATCAGTATATTTAACTATGTGCTGAGGTTGATAAGTATATTTAACTATGTGCTGAGGATGCCGTGGGAATGGATTTAAATTTGCTGTGGGCTGTTTACTTTTTCTTTATTCAATGAGCCTTACCATATAAGGGGCAAACTGTGGCCACTGAACAAAGAAAAAGTAACCAGCCCACAGCAAATTTAAATCCATTCCCACGGCATCCTGAGCACAGTATTGTGTTTTCACATAAATGCCCAAGACTTAGTTCGTAATGATCTTTCGCTAAAATGTGTATCCTTGATCCAGGTGGAGCTGAGAGAATATACATGAATTAAATTTAATTAATTAATTATTATTGAGGTAGGGTCTCTCTGTCACCCAGGCTGGAGTACAGTGGTGTGATCTTGGCTCACTGCCACTTCTGCCTCCCAGGCTCAAACAATTCTCCCACCTCATCCTCCCTAGTAGCTAGGATTTCAGGCACCCACCACACACCATGCCCAGCTAATTTTTGTATTTTTAGTAGAGACACGGTTTCGCCTTGTTGCCCAGGCTGGTCTTGAACACCTAGGCTGACGTGATCTGCCGGCCTCGGCCTCCCAAAGTGCTGGAGTTATAGGTGTAAGCCACTGTGCCTGGCTGTATATATGAATTAATCAAAATAGGTACTTCAGCATTGATGAGCAGAATGCCCAAAGATTTTTCTATATTGAAGCCCACATTATTTATTAGGCTTCTTACTAAAGCCCATGAAAGACATTGAGCCATAGGTTTTCTATACACTAAAAACCTACTTTCTGGAAAGTCAGATGTTACCAGTTTCTTCCCACTGCTATTACTTTGGCTCCTCCCTTTGACCAGGTGATACTGTTAAAAGCCTAGTTATTTCATTGCTAGTCATGCAAATGGTAATTAGTGTACATTAGAGCAATAATGCATTCCCAGGTTCAGTGTAAAGAGCATGGTGTTTCCATGCTCTGGTTCTCTCTCCTTGTCACAGATAATAAATCACAAGCCATGTTTAAAATACATTCTCTGCAGTCTTTGATACTGTGTAGTGCAAGCAACAGATTCATAGTTTCTTTTTAAGAATCTGAACTTTTACAGAATATGTATATCTCCATATACTTTTAAAAACATATTAACATAATATGTGGCTGGGCATGGTGGCTCATGCTTGTAATCCTAGCACTTTGGGCGGCCAAGGCAGGAGGATTGCTTGAGTCCAGCAGTTTGAGACCAGCCTGGGCAACATAGTGAGACTCTGACTCTAAAAAAAAAAAAAAAAATTACAAAAATTTTTAAAAAGCATAATATGTAAGAATATATATATATTAAAAATCAGAATACCAATAGGAAATATCCCTGATCCATATATTTGTAGTTGTAATCTTGCCATGAATTATATCAGTTGAGTCTGTTTCTTGGTCTCTTTATCTCATGAATGAAAGTAATAATACCAGCTTACTGTTTTCTCTAAGATTAAATTTCAAGAAATATTTTTGTGTAGAGATAAATAAAATTCAGTTATTGATCTAGGGTGTTGATAGTCTGTTAGGGAAGACAGATCTGTAAGTGGATAATTATACTACGGTGTGGAAGTTCAAAAGCAGACATATCAAAATCCGGAAGTTAACTGTGGAAAGCAGTGATTATTTGATTGGCAAAGGAAAAAGGGGTAAGTCAGGGAAGGATGACTAGACTCATGCCAAGTGGATAAGGTTAGGGAAAAGACATTTCAGGAAGAATGACTAGTACATATATGCAGAGTTATAGAGACATGAAATGGTGCGATGCGCTCTGAGTGCTAGAAGGAAGTCTGTATTGTTTGTATAAAATGCCATAGGCACTGGCCAGAGATGTTGCAGGAAAGTGTAGTTGGGGCCAGATCAAGAGGGACCTGAGTTCTTGGACTTTGCCTGGTAGGTAGGGGAAGGAGTTAAAGCAAATGAATCACAACTGTGTGTTTTAGGAAGATCACTCTGGCAGCATGAATCTGGAGCGGGTGAGTACAGACAGGAAGACTAGGTAGAGATTAGTGCTTTGCTTTCAGGTGAAAAAAAAATGAGGTCAGTGAATTATTAAATAAAAAGGAATGGCAGAGGAGAAAGAGAGGACAGGATTGAGCTGAACTGTTCAGGAGCTGGAATGGTTAGGACTTGGATTGTCCAGAGAGTTTTCTCTTTGTGACTTAAAATATATGGCTTTTCCCAGTTTTCCTGGGTTAGTTTTTAATTTTTTAAACTTGCGGTTTCAAATGAGTCATTCTACCCCTTAGACTGTCCAGAGAGGGAGGGGGCTCTTTGCATATTTATTTTTCCTAAAGCTCAGCCTAATGCTATGTTCTTTTTAGGTCAGATGGGCAGACCTGGAAGAGAAGAAGGATGCAGATAGGAAAAGGGCCATAGGTTTTGTGGTCGGACAGACTGATTGGGAGAAGATCACAGATGAAAGTGGTCACCTGGCTGAAAAAGCCCTCAATCGAACCAAATATATATGAGACTTAGTTTTTGAACGGAGTCATTATTCCTCTAAGGTAAGAGTACACAGTCATATAAATAGCCTACTGTGTGGTTGCTTCAAAGGGTTTGAGATAAAGAAGACAGCATATTTTGCTAAAAATGCTCTCTTCTTGTGTTATTTTATAGTTCTGAAAGAGTAAGTATGTACTAGTTGTTAACATTTACAATACTATTAGAAAAGGAAGCCATTTTCTGCAAGCTGGCTCACTTATAAAAATAAAAACCTTGAGAAAAACTTGAATTCTATAGATTTGGGAAGGACTGAAATGATGTTATACTAAGGGCTACTGAACTTTTTGCCTGTTCTTTCCAGGTGTGACAGCCTTTTCTTTTCTTTCCAGGTGGTTCGCTTTGAGGTGGTCTGAAGCCAAGGCCTCGCGGAGCTTCTTTGTGTGTCACCTTGCTTCCACGTTTCAGTTCTTGTTTTGTTTCTACTGCTTTAGTTTTTTTTAAAGTTCTCCAGTGTCCCCAAGAGGTATTAGAATCTTGCTGTACCCAAGCAAGACGTTAATTTTTCTTTTAACTGTTTTGGGGAGGGAGGGAGTGATAGCTTAACTGCTGAAGCCAGGCGGGGGTCTGCTGGAGGATTCCAACAGAGAGTATTTCCTCCACTGTACAATGTCACAGACTATCTCTATCATCATTGCTTTGTGGCTGTTTCTGTTTTTTACTGTATGTAACTGGTAGCTGATTGTACTAGGATTAAAAACAATAAACTTTCATGATAAAGCCGATGAGATTCATGGGCTATACAGCATGGGCCCTTTTCTCTTGTTTTCTTAATTTTATTTTTAATTGCTTTTTAAATATGGTATGTCCTAATTAAATGCTAGCTGAACATCCCAAAACCTTTTTTTCATTGAATATTATATGGCTCAATGATTCCGTAGCACATGTTGTAAAACACAGGGTTCAAATGATGTTCAAAACACTCATCTTTGTTTTATAGCTGATTTCTCTATCTTTGTGTCTTGAAGACTGACCAAGTTCAAATATTCATCAGTTCCCTGGAGCATATCCATTCTGTAACATGATGCTTTATTTAAAAATTTTTTTTGATCCTCTCTCTGTTCTTCCCTCTCTTCTTTCCTTCCTTCTTCTTTTCACTTTCTGCCTTTATGCTGTTAGGTTTTTATTTTTTCCTGATCTGGCTTTGAATTCTGGTAGACAGAACTGATGTATTCTGTGGAACTCAAGCTTGTTGCCTTCATTTGAACTTGAATTGTGGATTTTTAAATGAAGATTGCAGGGAAAGAGTATAAAGATGCAGAGCACTCTGGCATGTAACCTTTAAGCCTGTCAGGTTTTCAAGTTCTTGCCAGATTGTTCATTACTGGAAAGCATGGCCTTCTGCACAGAATTTCCTCTCTTGTGGTTAATACCAGGTGGAACCCAGAAACATACAGAGATAAAACCCAAATATTATTTCTATGTAAACACAGAAAAGGGACTCTTCCCTTTTTCATCCTGCAAAGAAAAAAGTCATCTTTTAGCATGAAAGAAGATGAGAGAGCCTTCTTCCTCAAGCATAATTTGCATTTTGTAATCCAACTCAGTAATTTGTAAATGTGTTCACTGAAGACTTCAATATTTTGAAATATTCTCTTTCAGGCCACAGATGAAAATCCTTTACTTTTATGACCTACATTAAAGACTGTATGAATAGAGCTAATAGTTACTAGCATTTGAATAGTATCACTTTGGGTTCAACAAATTGATATTATAGTACTGAATACCCCTAATTTAATGGAAATTCTAACAACTTTCTGTACTTTTATCTTCCCTGAAAATCTGAATTTTTAAGCAAGTGACTTTAAGTTCATTAAGTCAATATTGAATGTATAAATTGCTACATTAAATAACTTCTGCTGTTTGTAGTATTTAATAAGCTATTTTCATTGCTTATTGGCCTACAATACATTTCTGTGTACTGACCTTTCTCAGCAGCCTTTATTATGTAGAGTGAAGATATGTCGCAAAAATAGCCAAATAGAATTATTGTTTGTACAAAGACTCATTTACTACTTTCTAAAGCCACCCAATGCCTATTATCAAAAACAAAACTTCCATAATGTGTTCTCTAGTTCAGATGAAATGGAGGCCGATATGTTCTTCTGCAGGATGCTTTATTTCAGTTGTCCTTAACCTTGTGATGTTCTGACAGTAGTTAGAATGCCAATGAAATGAGTGGTGATTATCCGTGAGTCACTTGGAATCATGGGTAATTTTGCATATGTGTGTTTTCACCTTACAGCCATGGCTTTATGTCTGTGCTCTTATACCAGGGCAGGGTGGGAAGCTGGGGAAGAGTTAACATAGTCAGAAACGGCCTCTGCCAATTTTCAGAAGATATAGATTACGTGACCTTAGAGAATGAACATAGAGTGCTCCTACTTTAGAAAATGGGTATAACAACCTTCATGCAAGGAGATTAATGAAAAAAGATTTGGCACCAAAAAGAGTAATAGAGACAGCCAGCTGATAATTGATTTTGCTAGTCCAATGTGGGACTTAACAAAATTCTTGCACTTACATTACTATTAGAAGCAGTATCGTATAGGAAGCCCAAGGTATCTTGAAGAAGAAATTTGGTGTGGGTAGAAAATGCCTTGATAATACAAATATTTTAAGTTTGTTAAGAGGTGTCCTGGAAATGCAGAGGACTAATTTTGGATTCCATTATTTGCTAGCATTTTATTTTAATTTTATTAACATTGTCTTCTCTTAGAAAGTTGCTGGTTTAAATCATATGAGTTTTATTTTAAATCTTTTGTGGTGTCATGTTACTTAAAATAATCTTATGTTGGGAAAGGTTTCTGATACCTTGGTGGGTATTTCAGCTTTTTTTTTTTTTTTGTCAGCTCTGTAAAGGATGATTTCAGACATTTTAAACTGAAAGTGAAATCTCTCACTTAAGTGATCTAACTTTACTTGTAAACTTCCTGTGTGAGGAATTCAGTAGACGAGACCCAGAAATGTTTCTGTTTGAGAATATTTAGAGTTAAGTGCCGTATTTGAAATATTCAGGGACTGATTGTAGAATCAGAAGTCATTAATAATAATACACAAGTAGTCTATTGACAGTTGATTCATATAATTTTCTAGAAGTTTGAGTTTGATTCAGATATCAGTGTTAAATCCAGAAGTTTATTGACAAAGATAAAATCTTAAATTTTCTGGTTGGATTTGTTTTCCTCGTGAAAGAGTTTTGATCATTGAGCAAACCAAAGTAGGTGCCATGTCATCTAGAGATCGACTATTACATTTTTTATTAGATTGACTAAGAATCTCAACTGAGGTTTTCTTATTTTGTAGGCCCCTCAGTTTTTGTGTTAAGTATTTTATCCTGCTAACTGTGCAAATTGCAGATATTTTGGTAAAGATGTCTAGAGCCTGGCTTAATTACTAGGATTATAAAAGCAACAGATTCTCAGCTGAGATAAGTTTTGCTAAGCCATAGAAGGAGAATGATTTCTCATTTTTAGTATTCACAGACCCTAATACAAGTTCAGATTCTTCTAGAAGCTGTATGACCTTAAGCAACTTTTTTTTTTTTTTTTTTTTTTTTGGAGACAAGGTCTCACTCTGTTGGCTGGAGTGCAGTGACGCGATATAGCTCACTGCAGCCTCAACTTCCTGGGCTCAGGTGATTCTCCCATCTCAGCCTCCCAGGTAGCTGGGACTACAAGTGTGCACCACCACACCCAGCCTTTTTTTTTTTTTTTTTTTTTAAGAGATTGGTTGTTGCCATGTTTCACAGGCTGGTCTTGAACTCCTGGGAGCAAATGATCGCCTATCTCAGCCTCCCAAAGTGCTGGGATTATAGGCGTGAGCCACCGTGCCTGGCTGAAATATTTTAACCTATCTGAGCTTCAGTTTCCTGCCTATAAAATGAAAATAACAAAACACACCTATTAAACATTGAGATAATGCATGTAAGCTACTTGGCACAGTACTGAGCACATAGTAAAAGCTCAAAAATCAGTAGTCACCATCATCGTTACTTTTTGACTTGTTCTCATGTGTTCTTTTTGAAATTCAAAATATCCAGCTGGCTTGAAGATAGTTGTCACGTTTTATAGTCAGCTATCATAGACTGAGCTATGTCATATGTAATAGTACAGTGTGTTGAAAGAGTAATTATTCAGAAGCATTTTCAGGTAACCAGTGACATTGATTTTCAGAACTAGTACGGAGGCTTGAGAGGCTCAGGTGTAAAAGGTAATTTAGTACTTAGAGGGGGTTGAGTAGTAACAGAAAGTAGTTGTCAGACCACAGGTATAAACATAGGTGAGGGCACAGAATCATTGATTTGCCTTGATTTTCACATATTCAAGAAGAAAGTAACTTTGTGAATAAATAATGCGTTCATAAAGGTATAAAACTCAGGAGGTTCAAGTGTCCCATCCATCTTAACCCTCAGCCTCCCACGACTCCATCTGTAGAGGCAACCAGTGTTGAGAAAAATTGTGTGGATAAGCATTAAGTATTAATGTTTTTACCTGGTTTTTGTACACACACTACCTTATTTTTCCTTTACCAGTATGTTTTAGAGGTCATTCAGATCATATATAAAATATTCACATTTTCTCTCCCCCCCACCTCCTTCTTTGGTTTTCCAAAGGTACCTTCATAATATAAAGAGGTTTACTGAAAAATTTCAGAAATTGTTTCAGCTGCATCTCTGTTCTTTTCGTGGCATGGAATACATGGTATGGGTATATTTGTATACAATTCTTTCATATATGTAGGTTGGTGTAACCACCCTCCACCTTTCTCCTAGTCCCCCAACCCCACCATCTCTAACCCTTGGCAGCCACTAATCTGGTCTCCATTTTTATAATCTTGTCATTTAAAGAATGTTATAAATATGAAGTCATACAGTATGTAACCTTTTGGGATTGGCATTTTGGCTTTTTTCACTCAGCGTAATTTTCTTGAGATTCATTTAAGTTGTTATGTGTGTCAATAGCTTATTCCTTTTTATTGCTGAGTAGCTTTCCAACTCATTCTCTTTTGCAGCTGCAGAATGTTTTATGTCTTTACTATCATTTTAACTTACAGAGTCTCTATTAATGGGTATTCATGCTCTCGTTTACTGTTATAAATTATGAATTTCACATATACTCAGTCATTCTGCAGCTTCCTGTACTTGCCTGATTTCTAGCAATGAAGGAAAATACCGATGGCACCATTTCATAGACATACTCAAAGGATGACAAGCACTTAAGGACCAGCACAGCACAGCGGTGAACTCTCAAGACAGTATGACAGTAATGAGATGACGAAGGCACATCTTGTTTCCTGGAAAATTCTGCATGATAGGAGACTGACAAAGCAAAGAACCATGATGTGTCTTAGAGAACCAGAATGGTCAGAGACTCTGATGATCCCCTGGTCCACACGTGACTGAGAGTTAATACCTTAGGTCACTGTTCTCAGAACCTGGATATTTATATGCACGTGCACCTCAGTGACTGATCCATTCTCAGTTTTCAGGTCCATTGCTTTCACATTTGAAATAGTCAAGGAGCATCTTTATGACTGGGGCTGAGCTTCTGCATTCATGTACAGCCCTCTGCCTGCCAGCAGTGCCTTGCATTTGTGATCCTACAAAGAGCCTGTGGACTTAATGGTTTACTGTATAGGGAAAGGCTTGACTTTGTGTCTTCTACTTAAGAAGCTTGAACTTTTTACCAAATATTCGTACTCCTTTTCCTGAAAATACTGATCTAGGCTACAGATCCATCTCTTAACCATATTTGAAAAATTGAAATAATATCTTCTGCCATAACTTGAAATTCCACTCTCAGATCTGTTATTTCTGACAGTGAGTTTGTATTTCTCAAGTAGATATGTCTGATGCTTATTTCTTTTACAGCATCTGGCTCAGTGCATGGCTCATATATCTGTAGAGTGAGTAAATACAGGGAATGTTTCCTATGTGTATGGCAAGGGTCACAGACTCAGGCAGGTAACAGATGAGCAAGGCAGAGGGTGGAGACTGGTAAACTAGACAACTAGATAGGTCAGGTCAATCGGGGGCAGCACCTGCTCAGCCATAGCAGATTGTGGCCATGTGGGGATATAGGTCTCATATTGCCAGATTTCCTGGGTTTTCAAGAAAAAGTGAAAAATCTGGATTTTTATGTGAGATCTTCCAGTATTTCAGCATCAGGTTCTTTTTGTTTGTGAGTGCTTTGGCCCTCACAGCCTGCCTGCCACATCTGACTTGTGGACTGCCGGCTTGAAACCTTTGATATTTAGAGAAGTGGTTAGACCTTAGAGTTGGTTCTGGTGAGATCCTTCTTGTTTTACAGATGAGGTTTCTGAGACCGAAAGAAGGGAAGTGACTTGCTCAAAGTCTCACTGTTACTCAGTGGCAAAACAAGACTAGAATTTGGGTTTCCTGGTCCATAACCTGTCACTTTCTTTTTTCTTAACTACAATACCTCCTTTATGAAGACCTTCATAAATTCTAGGATGGTGAATTCTCCTTTATTTTGTGTGTCGTGTGCAAGTGGACATGTGTGTATTTACTAAACTCTGTGGACCTGGAAATACATTCTGATATGACTATCAGGAACAATGTGATTACTTCTGAAACCAACTTCCTTAAACTCTCATGTATAAGGTAGCTATACACCTAGGATCCCTCTTAAACACTTACTACTTGGTTGGGTAATTCTCATGAATAACAGAAGCTTGAAAATTAACAGAGTATTGGATTCAGTGATTGTACAAGAGCAGTGGAGTTTTCTCCACAAAGTAGAGAAAATCATTTGTGTATTGTTATGCAAATAGCTTACAGAACTATTAATAATTTTGTTTTCTTTAATTTGTAATTTCTTATGTAACTAGTCCATTTGCTTTCACCCAGTGATGAGCATCTTACCTGCTTCACTCGGTAGCGCTCCATTCCTAATCTTTTTAAGGACAAATTCATCAACTTGGCGTTAAAGTCTATCAGTAACATGATCCCAGCTACTTCTCCAGATTCCTCTTGAGCTGTCCTTACTACATGTGCACTACACTGCAGCCACACTGTGTGACTTATTCCCTGGGGTTTCTATTGTTTCTGCCTTGCTTTTCTCATCCTTTAGATATTAGCATTATTGGCTGGGCACAGTGGTTCACACTTGTAATCCTAGCACTTTGGGAAGCTGAGGCAGGCAGATCACTTGAGCCCAGGAATTAGAGACCAGCCTGGGCAACAAAAATGTCGGCTGCAGTGAGCTGATACTGCTGTCCACCCTGGGCAACAGGGTGTGAGACCTCATCTCAAAAAAAAAAAAAAAAAAAAAAAGCCAGGCACGGTGGCTCATGCCTGTAATCCCAGCATTTTGAGAGGCCGAGGCAGGTGGATCATGCAAGGTCAGGAGTTTGAGACCAGCCTGGACAACATGGTGAAACCCCATCTCTACTAAAAATATAAAAATTTTCAGCTACTCGGGAGGCTGAGCCAGGAGAATCACTTGAACCCAGGAGGCAGTGACCCAAGATTACACCACTGCACTCCAACCTGGGTGACAGAGCAAGACTCCATCTCAAAAAAAAGATCGGTGGTGGGAGAAACTGTCCAAAGGCCCAGCTCACATGGTACTGCGTCCCTGAATCTGTTCCTCATCTTGTTCCCTCCCAGCTCTCACAGGCTTTGTTTGTACATGTCCTACCATCTTCTCTTAATTTGCCTTTCTAGTAGAGTAACTTATATATCCTTCCCCCCCATCCTTACCCACTTACATACAAGCTCCTAGAAGGTGAGAATTATGTTTTACTCATCTTCCATCCTTGTAACACATAATATGCAGTATCTGTTACATATAGTTGCTACTCAAGAAGTATATTTAGAATTGATGACCTGGTGATTTTTAAGTATAAAATTAATTCATGTAGGTTCATATATGTATAATTTATAAAACCAATTCTTGTGTTTGCTTTTTCCCTACCTCTGTATCTTCCAGCTGGTGGCATATCAATACTTAAGGCGTAGCACATTCAAATGCCTTCAAAGGACAGGAAGATAAGTGTAAATGAGAGAATTGGCCAGTAATTTCATAATATATTTAGTTTTATTCTTTCAACAGAAACTTACTTTGTTTGCAGATTAGACATGTGGGAATATTCTTCACTCTTATAGAAAAATACCCTGTTTCTCATTCTCAAAACTTTTGGCACTCTCTTAGTTTTCCCACCTTTGGTAGAGACATAAGTACAGTATTATTTTTTCTTTACTGTGAGAAAAACAACAGCAGAAGCAGAATAAAACAGGGTACTTGGCCCTCTCAGCCTCAGGGTTCAGGAAGCAGTAGGGTATGGTGGAGGCTGGGATGGTGCAGAGTGCTTGTCCTGTCTCAGGGGACAATTCTCCAGCCAGTGGTTGGAATGAAGAAAGACAGACCCAATGTTACTAGATGAAGATAAAGTGGAAGTCTGCATTTTTATGTGAAATAGTCACAGTAGAAACAAATCACATCTGGAAGCCACATGTTACCAATAGGCTGTCATTTTGGGACTTTTCTGACATGCTCTAAAGGATGATGACAAGTCTGAAAGACAGTTATGGCAAAGAAGATATTTGTAAGAAAGGAAACATCAGGTTTTATTACATATAAATATTTTGAGCAGCACCTTTTTACTAGTATTTTGGAAAAGCATTTCTGTCTTCATTGAGCGAAGTGGCAATACATATGTAATATACTGATGCTGAATTTGCGGTGGGTTGATTTTTGTCCATTGTTGGCTTTCACATGGAAGCATGAATATTGTCTCCCCGCTACCCCTTTTGAGTGACATCCTTCCAGTACCTCCATTTCTCAAGTTGCAGGTAAGCACCTTGTGTATATACAGTTAAATAGTGGGCACACATCTATCCCAGGAAAAGAAGACAGTGAGAATTCCCTTTGGTTAAGTGGAGCAGTTGAATGGCCACTATACCTGGATGCAAATTTGATCCGAATTTTCTGCTCTAAACCCTCCACTGCTTTCTGCTGTTTCCACTGAGGAAAGAGGATGTGTGTCATTAAAGCTTTGTTGGGACCTGTCACAGTCAAGGTGGGTATAATTATGTTTAATTTATTGAAGTGTTTCTGGGCATCGTCTTTTTCAAATTCATATATTCTATCCAGAAGATGTGAATTCATTTTCATTATTAAAAAAATAAAATATTACAGATAAAGCTCAACACTCCCCCCTCCCCCTTAAGCACAAATACCTTGAATCTTAGAGGTAATTACTATTATTTTGGAGTGTGGCTTTTCCAAACCTTTTTGTGTGTATTTGTATACATATGTACTTGCCTATAAAAATACAGTTTTACTGTTTTTTACATGACTGATATTCTTTACATACTGTTCTGCAGACCTACTATGTCTTGGATACACACATGCATGTATATATGTATATATAGGTAAATATATATATAGGTAGATATAAATACATGCATTCATGTTTGTGTATATTCCATGATATGTGTATAATGGCTTACTTTTTCCTTTTTTTGTGAGTTTTTCACTGTCATACCAGTGTTGCATTGAACATCCTTGTAAATGCCTTTTGCAGGCTTATTTTCAAAAATCTTCCCTGGGGAAGATACAGAAGAATTGAATTACTGGGCTACAGGGAAACCATTTCTCTTTTTATTTTCTCCTAATAATTATCTACATGTGTGTTTTAGAAACAGTCTTAATTTAATATTGGGGGTTTCAAAATTTTTTTTCTCATTTTAAAATTCCAGTTTTATATGCTGTACTCATTTGAATTCTGCCTTTTGAATCTAGATTTGGAATTGATATGGATAAGCAAAATAGGTTCTAAGTGGTAGTGATAGTTCATAACCAGTTTGCTTTTGGAATAGGTGCTGTTTCAATCTTGGGGAAGGTAAAATGTCAATTGAGGAAATAATCTTTAATCATGAAGTTCTTTTTTCCAAGTCATTCTCTGCTCCCTTTGGAATTATGACAACTTGGATCCAGAGGTGCTGTGAAAATATTTTCTTACATCATACCTCTTCTTTTCATACAAGTTTGAATGATCCCGGAAAATACAGTTTTTGTATTTTCAAAAAAAAAAATGAAGTCTGGAACACCCACTTTTCTTAATAGGATCTAGTTTATTTGTTTAGGTAGTAAAGCTTTTATTAAAAGAACATACTTTGAGGATTTTCTGTTTCTCACCTGAGCCTTCTGTATTCACTAGATATGAAACTGAGTGCATTGGCAGGGCCTCTACTAGACCTGAAAGGCAGCATTCCCAGTGTTTATTTTCAGGGGCCAGAGGGAAGGCTATTGACTGACATTGGAGGCCTTAACCCCTGGATTGGTAAGGTTCTGGTGGAATGATTGCTTAGATTCCATAAACACTCGAATAGATGATTACTCCTTTCTGTATGTATGCATTTTTGGAAGAATGATAAAATATGAAAAGTGTGAAGAGTTGTGCACTCAAGTGGTGGTTTTGACCTGGGGAGCTTTTAAAACTCCCAAAGCTCAGGCTACACCTCATAGCAATTAAATCAGAATCTAGGAGTGGGACCCAGGCCTTGGTAATTTTTTAAAAGGCCACCAGGTCATTCTAATATGCAGCCAACTTTGAGAACTGGTGGGGTAAAGGGGATTTTAAATTTTATTTCATCTCTAGCTGATGATAGGTTCATTAAGCAAAACTTTCGAAGGCCCTGGTCTGTTGGTTAACTTTGCAGGTGTGGAAGATACAGTTGTTGGAAGGATACTTGTTAATGAAACTCTTTAAATGTGCAAAAGAAAATCCACCTAGGCTGAAAGAGTTAATGCGGTTTCCAAAGGTGCTTGATAGCCAAGAAACAGCTTAGGCACAGGGACAGTCTGGCTTCTTGGGAGCAAATAAAGCCAAGATTTAAAATGCCTTTTAATCTAAAACATATGTTTGCCCGTGGGCCTGGAAACAAGCCTAGGCCTTTGCAGTTGTGAAGTTTCCTCACGATAGACAGACATGAGTTGTGGTCCAATGTTATTTAAACTTGAAAGCTTAGAGGAGAAATTTGGTTTGTGGAGGAGGTTGTAGATGGGAGAAGAGAAGTGCAGTGGGCAGGCAGAACAAATTATTTTTCTGTGGTTTGTCCTTTCTGATTTTAAGAGGAGAACTAGTTCATAGTTCCAGTTATCACATACAAAATGGAACAAACCTCAAGAAAATGAGAATTGCTATTTTCAATAAGCTAGAATGATCTCTTTAAATTAATCTGCTTTGATACCTAAGATAATCTCTATTTGTGGCATAAGCGTCCTTATAAATGCATTCTATGGTGGTATGGACTGTTTTGCGTCTTCTTTAGAGTACGTGACTCCTTCATTAGAACTTTTCCCCAAAGATTCTGATTTCTCATTGTTTTTTAAATTTTTATTTTGAAATAGTTACAGATTCATAGGAAGTTGTAGAAAAAAATGTACAGAGAAGTCCTGGTGTATTCTTCAACCAGCCATCCCCAATGGTAACATCTTATACAATGAGAAGTGTGTGTCAAAACTTTTAAAAGCCAAGAAGTTAATGTTGATACACTCCACAGAGCTTATTCAGATTTTACCAGTTTTACAAGCACTCATGTGTATGTGTGTGTTTGGTTCTGTGCAGTTTTATCTAATGTAACTTCATGTATTTGTGTGTGTTTGGTTCTGTGCAATTTTATCTCATGTAGCTTCATGTAATCACCACCACCATAATCAAGATTCAGAACTCCATGTGGGAATGTGAAGAACTGTTAAGAGAATGAGTATAGAATGAGTCACTTTGCTTGTAGTCCCATCATGACTTAAATTCAGGACTTTATATTGTTGGGGACTGCTGCTTTGAGGGGGTAAGTAGCATAGCTTTTGCAACATAAAGTGGCTTTTTAGTTTTTTTTTTTTCATGAGATCATCAATATTGGTGCTTTTCTCAGTAACTACGCTTTTGAGTAGTTCAAGCATGGCCACTTGCTTTATTTGAAGGGAGTAAAATGAGAAGTATATGCCCCAGAGCATAAGAATCTGTTGCTGATCTTAATTTTTGGACAAATTGAATGCTAGGAAGTTCTTTTTCTGCCAAACTTCAGAACATTTGAGACCTGCTCAGTAAACAGTCATTGTATATTTTTAGTCCTAAAACAGTAAGAAGACTATTGGCCTCCCAGAGAAATGCCCTGATGTATTTGAATTGAATAGGCATGGCTTTATAATAAAGAAATAGTAACAGTCACTTTAAATAGCATATTCTAAGCATTAAGTCAACCTGTCAAACCCTGCCTCACTCACATTTTTTAGGTGATTACTGTCTCCAGAGCATAAGGATACATAATCATGTCTACTGTTCACATGGCATAAGGATAAATCCTCATGGATAGGATAATTTAAAAATTATTTTTGCAATAGTATGTCAAAATTAAGGTGTTTAGGAAAGTCCATTGTTATTAAACTTTCTGTTCCCAGGACTTGCTGATAAATTACAATCAACAAAACAGTTTGTATTCTGTTCTTGTACCCACATCCCCCTGTCTACCTTAGAAATTCTTTTTTGGGGCACCATTTTTGGCAAGAATTCTATAGGAAATAAGAGTTTCTGGAGTTTGTTCTGATTGGTTCAGAGTCAGCAAGCTCAGCTCTGATGAAGTAATGGGATGTGTGAAAAGAAGTGTCTAAACACCAAGATAGGAATATTGAGCAAAAGCAGCTTTGGGGTGTATATCAAAAATGCATTCTGTCTGATGTAATGGTGTTTTTTTGTTAGAAATTTAATACAGTAAGAAGTCAGCAAAACTTCATGTTGACAATCCCATTGTCTCATAAAGCTTGATTTGAAAAAGACAATGTAGAAACAGACTATCCAGAAGACATTTAGAGCCTTAAATATTCTGATAATCACCAACCCACACTCATGGAAGAGCAGAGGAGAAGATAATCAACATTAGTGACTATAAATGAAAAGAACCAGAAAGGCTGGATTACTTTCCATCAAAAAAAGTAGGTTGGGTGTGGTGCCTCATGCCTGTAATCCCAGTGCTAGGAGGCTGAGGTGGGCGGATCTCTTGAGCCCAGGAGTTCCACACCAAACTGGGCAACATGGTGAGACCCCATCTCTACAAAAAATAGCCAGGCATGGTGGTGCATGCCTGTAGTCTCAGCTACTTGGGAGGTTGAGGTGGGAGGATCCCTTGAGCTTAGGAGGTGGCGGTTTCAGTGACCCAAGATTTTGCCACTGCACTCCAGCCTGGGTGACAGAGCAAGACCCTGTATGCAAAAAAAAAAAAAAAAAAAAAAAACTAATCTTTATGAAAAAATAATCCTGAATATAGATTTAACTGTTAAGAGGGGGGAAAACCAGGATTCCAGTTATGTTTCCCTCGCCACCCCTGACCCAGTCAAGAAGGCAATGAACCAGCCAGCCCCTTTTAACAAGTGGAACAACTACAGAGATGTTTTGAATAACTGTACAGAAGTTAAGAAAATATTCAAGCCAAAACTAGTCTACTCAATGAACATAGATACAGCCCCAAAAAGCAGTGGTTAGAGATGGCAAGTTGCATAATTTTAGAAATACCACATTAGTCACTGAGCTTTTAATTAAGAGGATGTCAAAAATGCAGTGTAGGCCAGGTGCAGTGGCTCACTCTTGTAATCCCAGCACTTTGGGAGGCAGAGGTGGGTGGATCACAAGGTCAGGAGCTCAACACCAGCCTGACCAATATGGTGAAACCCGTCTCTACTAAAAATACAAAAATTAGCCAGGTGTGGTGGCATGCGCCTATAGTCCCAGCTACTCAGGAGACTGAGGCAGGAGGATCACTTGAACCTGGGAGGCAGAGCTTGCAGTGAGCCACGATTGCACCACTGCACTCCAGCCTGGGCCACAGAGCAAGACTCTGTCTCAAAAATAAATAAATAAAAAAAAAATAAAAAAAATGCAGTGTATCCCCCTGTGTAAGGAAAAAGCAGGTCAGCGTCTGAGCAACCAACCAAGAAACAGCAATAGTCGTAATGCCATTTGTCAAACATGTCAACATGGGGTTGTATTTAAAAAGTAAATGACGAAATGCATGTAAACTTTATAACACAAAGGTTTTTAGCTGGGTTTTCTTCCCAAACTATATTAACATAGTTTAAAGCTAAGTTTTATGGTTGTGTCCGTGTTACATGTCAGTGATGTTGTTAAGCTAAGAATTCTTTTTCACTGTGAAGCAGTACAAATTCATGACTTTGCTAACAATCTATGACTGCTGAGCAGTAATACAGCTAACAATTACTGAGCACATACTATGCTCTAGAAGTGTGTTGAGCATTTCACATGTATGGTTTTACCTGAACCTTAGAACAATATTATGAGGTAGGTGCTATATTATTATCTCTGTTTTACAGATGGCCAAGCTGAGGCCAAGAAGAGTAAGTAATTTAGAGAGATCCGTAGCTGATAGGTGGTTGAGCCCGGATGAAAACACACCCCAAAGCCCATGCACCTAACAAACTACTCGATTTGGGAAAGGTATTAGGTGAGGTGGAAAGCAAATAGGGTGGGTGAAGCATTGTTAGGTCAGATACCTGAGGATAAAGTGGGGAAAGGGTAAAGGGAGGAACAACATTCTTGCCGACAGCTGAAGCTCCAGTCCAGAAGCAGTAACTGAGGGCATGGAAGTCAGAGCCACAGAAATCAGTAAATAGGGGAAAGAGAAAGGTTTTCCTAAGGGAAGAAAAGGAATTGACATTTGTTTGAGGTGTGACTGGAGAATTGGAAATGGCAAAACAAGAGTTTCTGAGCATGAAGGGGTGAGATCGTGAGAAATGAAATCACCCTGAAGAACTCTTGGTGAAAGAAAAGCAGACCCCTAGTGAGCAGATGGACATGTAAAACTGGCGACGGTTTGGGTTGTTCCTTTACTGTGTTCATTGTTCACCTGCCTTCAACATTTCATCAGACACTCCCTTCCTCTGGAGGCTAGCATCTGTTTTGCTTTTTTTTTTTTTTTTTTTTTTTTAAATAGGACTGAGCATTCAACTCTTAGGCACTTGGTTATATATAGTACTTAGGTTATTGAAAAGAGGGCCGAGTGTGGTGGCTCATTCCTGTAATCCCGGCACTTTTGGAGGCCAAGGCAGGCGGATCACCTGAGGTCAGGAGTTCAAGACCAGCCTGGCCGACATGGCGAGACCCCGTCTCTACTAAAAATACAAATATTAGCTGGGCATGGTGGTGTGCACCTATAATCCCAGCTACTTGGGAGACTGAGGCACAAGAATCACTTGAACCCAGAAGGTAGAGGCTGCAGTGAGCCAAGATCGCATCACTGCACTCCAGCCTGGGTGACAGAGCGAGACTCCATCTCAAAAAAAAAAAGCTTTTTCTTTGTGTAGGAATTGTCTAATCCTGAAAAATACTCTTTTCATGAATCATCTTCTTCCACAGGTGAGTGCTTAGTAACTCTTTGTAAATGTAGATACCATGATCTACCTCAAAGGTACAGCATGCATTATTAATACTCTAAAGTGGATCATCTGAACTCGTACTTTACAGGTGTAGGTGTGTATATTTGTGGTAAATCTGACCAAGAATATTTTATACAATACTTTCATGAAAAGCATTATATTTGCCATATTGTCACAAGTTCATTTCTATCCACCCCAAAGGTTCAATCCCTGAAGCAGTTAAGACTTGTACAGAACTCAAATTCAAATGTATATAATCCTCAGCCTGATAGAGCTATATTGTTCTAGCTAAAGTATTCAGTATCTCTTTCGTGCCCACCACTGTTTCATTATCTTGTCTGATGATCTTGCTTTATGTGAAATCTGTGCAATACTTAACAGTTTGTGTAAAAACATCAAAGGATTTTTAAAATTTCTGTTTTGTTTTGATTGTATATATTATCAAACTGTGATCTGCTTTACAGAGCAGAGGATCAAAACTGTAAATCAAAGGACTAGAATCAATTATTATGAAAATCTGGACTATATAGGACTTCAGAAAACTGGTTACCAAAATTTTGGCTAATTTTGTAAGGACTTTTTTCTTTTTTTGAGACGGAGTTTCGCTCTTGTTGCCCAGCTGGAGTGCAATGGCGCGATCTCAGCTCACCACAACCTCCGCCTCCTGGGCTTAGGTGATTCTCCTGTCTCAGCATCCCAAGTAGCTGGGATTTACAGGCATGTGCCACCATGCCCGGCTAATTTTGTATTTTTAGTAGAGATGGGGTTTCTCCATGTTGCTTAGGCTGGTCTCGAACTCCCAACGTCAGGTGATCTGCCCGCCTCGGCCTCCCAAAGTTCTGGGATTACAGGCGTGAGCCACCGCGTCCGGCCTTTAGGACTTTTAAAATAAATAATTTTTATCTTTTTCTTTCTTTCTTTTTCTTTTTTTTTTTTTTTTTTTTTTTTAGACAAGGTCTCACTCTATCGCCCAGGGCTGTGCAGTAGCATGATTGCCGGCTCACTGCAGCCTCAACCTCCTGGGCTCAAGTGATCCTCACCTTAGCCTCCCAAGTACCTGGGACTACAGGCACACGCCATTACGCTGGCTAATTTTTGTATTTTCTTTTTTGGTAGAGACGGGGCCTCACCACATTGCCCAGGCTGGTCTCAAACCCCTGGGCTCAAGCGATCCTCCCACCTCAGCCTTCCGAGGTGCTGGGATTACAGGCATGAGCTATCGTGCCCAGCCAAAGATATATTTTCAAAAGACACTTGTAAAATTAGGGAAGTGCAATTTTAAATTTTTTTTTTCTGAGGATTCTCTCTATTTTGTCATTGAAAGCAAAGACAACATTTTAAAAGTGGACCTACGTAAGAGGGCTGGGTGTAGAGCTTTATTAAAGAGTGCTGTGCTGTTTGCTGTTTATACTTTGCTCATTCTCTGATGGAAAATAAATTGTTTAGGTACCCCTTACATGTCCTTCAGCCTCTCACCGTTTGAGTCTGGTTTGGGTTTTGTATACTATATGAAACAGTGTTTGAAATAAAGGTTCCTAATGAACATTTTCCTCCATGGGATACCAATCAACTGCCTGCTTTTAATTGATAATTGGGCATTAACTCCTCAGTAGTGCCATCATCATAAACCACAGTGCAGACCCTATAGTCCACCATTGAAAAATTAAGACAATTATGCAGTATTTGAACATGTCTAATCTAGGAGAGAGTAGCACCCAAGGCCGGGCACAGTGGCTCATGCCTATAATTCTAGCACTTTGGGAGGCTGAGGTGGGAGAATTGCTTGAGCCCAGCAGTTCGAGACCAGCCTGGGCAACATAGTGAGAACCCCATTGCTACAGAAAAATTTTAAAAACTTAGCTGGGCATGGTGACATGTGCCTGTAGTCCTAGCTACTCGAGAGGCAGAGGTGGGAGTATCACTTGAACCTGGGAGATCAAGGCTACTGTGATCGTGGCACTGTGCTCCAGCCTGAGTGAGAGAGTGAGACCCTGTCTCAAAAAAATAAAAGAATAGTGCCCTCATATACCTTAGTGGAAAAAATGACCAGATCTTTGGCAAAGTATGATTGCTAAAATAATAACCCACTCAGCTTACACTCCATGTGTTTCCAACAGAGAGGGATACGCACTTGATAGAAACAGAAAATTATAATCAAATAGAATTCTTCTGTTGGCAGAGCATACATATTTATACATTCTTCTGTGTTTAGCTCAGTGGTTAGAGAACACTTCCTGGAAAGACTGCAGTACACAAATGTTTTCAATTTGAGCTTGTACATTTCATCTCATTGGTCCCTGAGACAAGGTTCACTGCCCTGGAGGTGACTTGGCTCAGTCTTTAAACACACACTAATGAATTTCAGGTTTGGGACAGAAGAAGGGCTGCTCTCTATTGGACAGTCATGTGAACTTGTTTCCCCTGTATGTCTAACTTAGGTATGTAATGTCACTCTGGATAGAGGGTTCTTCTACTATGTCCGGACACAGAAAACTGATTGCCCTTGCTCAGAGCACTCCATGCTTGCCTGTGTTTAAAACTTAGGTTTGGCAGATTCCTTCATTTTTGTGAAAATAGGGCAAAGATCTTCTGAGTGCAATTGGATGTACTGGAGGGCACTTAACCTTTAGCCTGTAAAGATGGGTTTGGGCTAAGTCTGTTTTGTTTTTCCTTTCAGCTGTTTGAAGAGAAAATTCAAAGGAAAATTCATCTTTCATACTTTTTATGCTGATAGTTCTAGTAATAGTTTAGGGATTTTATCTCATCTGCTCCAGCAACACCCCACCAGAAAAATTATGGAAGTTGAGTAGCCGAATATGAAACTTGTTTTATATAGACAGGAAAGAAGCTAATGAACTCACAGACACCCCTTATCAGGACTACAAAGCCCGAGCTGTGTATTACCCCCACCCCACCCCACCCGGCGTACCTTTGGCAGTGCTTACAAAGACTTGATCCTGACTAGCTTAGAAGACAGATGCAGTTACTCAGCTTTGTACATGCCTTGCCTATATACTCAAGAGTGGGTCACAATTGTGCTGGGCCAGCAGCAGGGGGAAATGTTGATTTCATGAATTCCTTCATCAGTGGAAGGTCAGCCATGGACTGTAATTTTGTTATGGAGTGGGAGAATTTCCATTTCTGTGTGATGCTGCATTTGTCCCAGTTATGCCATTTATCATCTGCAAGGCTGTGCACAGCCTGTGCAAGCCTCCTGTCTGGACTGCGGTTCTTCCTTCCCAATTTAAGCAGCATGGGCCAGATGATCTCCTAAGGCCCTTTCTACCTTTCACAGTCTGAAGTTCAGCTTCTTCTGCATATATGAGGTTGGGGCACCAATTGCAATGGTCAGCTGGAGACTATTTGCATTATCCAGCTGATAAACTCTTCCAGCAGACAAATGTGAATAAACAGCAACACTCAAGTCCTGCATAAAGTTTGTCTTGAGTTTGCTGAAATGATCAGCAGAAATCTTGGGCGGTGAAGTGCTCCTAAGTGCTGGGCAGGAGTTGTCAGGTGACGGTGCCCTGTCAGCGCTGGATGCTTACTAGGGGTGGGGTCCTGCTTGAGATCCTGAGTTAGCTGCAGGAGATGGGTCCAGCATGCAGTTGGGCATCAGAAAGTCTTGGTTCCTCCAGGCTCCTGACTGTCCCTATCAACCCAGATGTCCTAGCCTCATAGGCTTTGGCGAGTTACCTTGCAGTTCTAAAGCTTCTGTTTGGTCATCTTTTAAATGATGATAATAACTACTTTTCAGGGTGAAAAGCTTAAAGTATGTGAAAGTATCTAGCAAATAGATGGCGCTTTATAATTAGGTGACTAAAAACAGCAATTTGTAAAAACCCCAAATAAGATAACCTTATCTGAAAGAGGGGCTCAAAAAACTGACATTTGTGTGTGAATGACATTGCATAGGACATACTGTCCTTTAATCCTTAACAACCTCATTTTACAGATACAGAGATACCAGGAAGTTCCCAGGGTCACAACACCTGGAAACAATGGAGTTGAGCTTCAAGTCTTCTGATTGGAAACTTGTGTTCCTTTTACAATATACTACCAATACACCAATATAGTTAGTACATTTTATAGTTAAATTTCTGATGATTCTGGAAAGGGAAATAAATGATCAAAATGGTAATAGTACCTGTTTTGATAGAGGAGATTTCCTTGTGCCCTTTTTATATGACTACAGCTAAATTGCCCTTTAAGACAAACCCAGGAAACCCTAGCCAGTCACTCCTCACGTTGTGGGATCTTAACCCCGAAACAGCTACTGGGGATAGCTGGAAGATTTGAATATCTCTGGGATGTCACTGTCCAGTTTCGAAATAATTTTATAAATGGGTTTCTTCCAGGAAGGATCTGAGTCTCTCCCTGCGGAGACAGCCCTGAAGAACTCCTGTAACGTCAAGCTGGCAATTTCCAAGAAGCAATCTGGAACCTGCATTTCCAAAGAGACCCACAAGAAAGAAAAGACGTGAGGTTGGGAAGCACTGGTGCCAGAGCCCTCACTAGCGGGTGCTGCCTGTTTCTTGGGTAGTGGGCTAGGAGCATCCCTGCTCTAGTGGCCCCTGATTCTGCAACCCTAGGACTCCTCTGCTTCCTCATCAGACACAAACCTTGATAAGACAGCTCCAGTGAGAAAGCCCTGGGAGAAGGTGAATTAAGGACACTTCCTTTGTAGGAGGAGCTGATCTCGCTAATGGGCGACTTTTTAACTAAGCAGGTCAGAAAATCTTACTGAAAGTAAATCTGTGGCTCAAAGAGACTTCGGTATTCTTTTCCCTAGTACTAACTGTGGAAAGGAGTGCCCCCAAGCTTCTGACTGTCATACCTCATTCCACTGCCTTTTAGGGCTGGGTCTGAAGAGCTTACACTCCTGCTTTCAGAGCTGGTTGACGGGGGTGCTGTTCTAGAATCCTAACCCAGACTGGCACCATGAATGATGGGTTGCCCCACTGCCAAGCTCCAGACCCAGCTTGGCTTGGGGCTTGCTGCCACTGCAGGTCAAATGACCACCCTATGTGGAAAGATGCAGCAGTGCTGCCTGTCCCATACTGGCCGTGACCCCTTGAGCCTCAGAAAGGGAGACATGGACAATTTTCCCCACAGGTAGTCTTAGCTTTCCAAACATACTCTGACTCACCAGTCAACCAGTGGATGACCACAGTTCTTGTATTTTTTGGAGGTATCAATAAACCACTCTTTGTGATCACAGTCAAGGGAGAAGTCAAGAAGAGGGAAGTGTAATCTGTGACCAGATATACCCGGCACCTGCAGAATCAGATGCCAGCCTAACAGCTGTCAGCTGTGCATGAGGCAACATGCATCTCTTGATTAGGAATGTGCGCCAGTGACACCTAGGCTCACCTTTCACTGACGCTTTACCTCTGAGGTGCCACCAGTGTGCCTTCATAGGGATCCCCGAGGGACTGAGCTTGAGTGTTGTTTATTGTTATTTCCAGAAAGGATTTGAGGTGACTTGCTATGGAAGGCCCACTGATACATTTTCAAGGGAAAATACAGATAAGAATCAAATCATGAAAAGCATAGAAATTGTTGAGAAAACCTAGGCCAAGACTAGGTGCCACAACTGAGCTCAGCATTCAGTCCTGAGCCTCCTGGCACTAAGGCAAAAAGGTCAGGAAGTTATGTAACTTGATAATGACAGGGTATTCAGTCTAAGATGGTGTAACACCTGGCAGCCCTCTCACTAAGCTTCAGAATGAAGACTGGCTGTTGACTCAGTTTGCTGCTTCCACCTGTTGCCCAAGTGAAGATGTTGAGGCTGTAATCTTTGTGGATGATACAGAGATTGGCCCAGGCTGCCCTGGCTCTCAGTAACTTAAGGAGACACAGAAGAGGGATCTTTCCTAAAACTCGAATCATATAGGGAAGACACTCATCAGATCTCATGGGAACCCAGTACATGGTCTTACCTCAAAGTCATTTCCCTTGTTGTAGTGCATATTGAGAGCTTGAAAAAGTTCTGAATTGCGGAGAACCACCAGCATTTTGGGATTTGTGACACCATCTGAAATTGCTTGCCGGGCAGATTTTTCCATTTGGATGTAATAAAACTCACGAAAGTTGCTGAACCACTTGATCATCTGGGAGGTAATGCAGCGGTTGAACTGTACAAACAAGAGGTCCATCCAGTCAGACATTTGCCACGAGGTGCTCAGAATTAGAACTGTCTGCTTCCAGCTCAGTATAGGGGTTCATATACGGCTTTAACCAGCATTAACAGGGGCTTCCTTTAAAAAAAGAAGCGAAGCCACCGCTATTTTCCAAGCCTATTTAGTTATACTCAGAAAAATCTAAATTAGCTACAGTGCCCATTAGAACATAACTTTTTTTTGATATGCTAGATTTATGGGGGTTGTTTTACCCATGAAAAGCTTTTTGTGGTGTTTGAGTGGGACTTAGGGGTCACGACCAGTGTGGTGCCAGATTTTGCTGCACCCAGGTGGACTGCATGGCAGGCCTGGGGCCTTCCACTTGGATAAAGGGCCAAGGGAAGGGCAAGATGTAGGTCAGGGAGCAGTTTATTAGCAACTTTGAATTGTGGAATGAATTGAAATCAAAATCAGAGGTTGCTTCAGGGATCAACCAACCAACTGAATATGAGGGAAAGAAAAGCTTGAATGATGTAGACCAAAAGTATTAACAGCCCCTAACCCAACACCCAAAGTAAAAGAGGCCCTCAGAAACCTTTTATGGGAACAGGGGAGGTCTGGTCCCAACAATTAGTTTGATTTTCCTTATTGTCACACTTCATCTGTATGTACTTTCACTCAGTTTTGAACTATAGCAATTTGAACATAAATTTGACAGTGTCTGACACTCTGTCTCTCTCTCCCTCTCTATATATATTTTTTGTTGTTTGTTTGTTTGTTTTTGTGTGTTTTTTTTTTTTTGAGATGTAGTCTCGCTTTGTCGCCCAGGCTGGAGTGCAGTGGCGTGATCTCTGTTCACTGCAACATCCACCTCCTGGGTTCAAGTGATTCTCCTGCCTCAGCCTCCGAGTAGCTGGGATTACAGGCGCACGCCACCACGCCAGCTAGTTTTTGTATTTTTAGTAGACATGGGGTTTTACCATGTTGGTCAGGCTGGTCTCGAACTCCTGACCTCAGGTCATCTGCCCACCTCGGCCTCCCAAAGTGCTGGGATTAGAGGCATGAGCCACTGTGCCTGGCCTATATTTTATTTTTCATAGTGTCCCCAGCCAAGGCAGAAAACTAGCCAAAAAGGCCACTAACTAGTGTTTCTGTTTCCCTCTACTTTTCCTGCCCATGTGTTTCTGTTTTGGGGATTATCTACAGCTCAGTAGCTTAAGAATTTAGACAGCCAGCCTTTCTAGCCTAAAGTTATTCACGGTTATTTGGGTAGAGTCTCAGCCCAGAACTGGACATTGCTTCCATCAGCAACACTAAGGGGAGCTTGAAGTGCACATATGATGACCTAGGACTTGCCTCACACCAGGCAAAACACACTGCCTCTTGGGAGTTCTGCAGAAGCTGCCATTTAGTTGAGTGACTTTACCTGAACATCAGGAAAATAAACCTTCAGGAGGTTGGAGCTGGGATATCGTGTGAAGAAAAACATTAGTTTGGCCTTCTTCAAGTGACCAGGGTTTAGACCCTCCTGGATTTATCTCAGTGTCAAGGAAAATGAACACTTTAAAATGCCAGTTTATCAATTAACTAGTGAATTCCTTGTTCCTGTGGTTTCTATTTGATTTCATTTTGTTTTTCTGATTGGAATTGTGTATTTGCTCCATTTTTCTGTCTCTGGAAACTCTGGTCAAATAAGCTGGATGACATATGTGCACAGTTAAGTCACAGAATGTAAAAATCATCTCGATGTGGAAAAGTTATGTAGCATAGATGATGTCAAATACAGGTTGGTGTATTTTGTGTGTGTGTGTGTGTGTGTGTGTGTGTGTGGTGTCTTAGATGTCAAATACAGGTTGGTGTATTGTGTGTGTGTGTGTGTGTGTGTGTGTGTGTGTGTGTGTGTGTGGTGTCCAAGTGGGATGGGAAGAGATGGCAATTCTATCCCAGATAAACCATTTCAAAACCCCAAGCAGAGATTTACTTCCCCTCTCTGCCTCAGTTTCCTCAGCTGTAAAACGAGAAGAGTAAACTAGGTGGTCCCCATTCTGGCTGTCACTCTTATCATTGCCTTCACAGTGTTGCCTTTATAACCAGCAAACATCTAAGCAGGCTGAATACCAGCTCATATTTTGCTCTTGCTCAAGAAGCTTGAATGGTTGGGTGGTACCCACTCTCCATTTGCCTGGCAGAACTATCCCTCATCTTTCAGGTCTCAGCTCAGAAGCTCCCACCTCTGTTAAACCCTTCCTTGCCAAATTAGGCCTTCCTTACCCTGGGCTATGAAGACTCTTTGTACAAACTGTTGCAGCGATGACCTTATTGGAATTTTTACTGTATGTTTGTCTCGTCTAGACTGTGAGCTCCTTGAGAGTGAGGACCTTATCTTTTCATCTTTGTGCCTAGCCCAGTGCTAGGAACATAGCAGGTGCTCAATAAATATTTGTTGTGTGAAGGAGTAAGTGAGTGAACGGTCAACCTTAATCCATACACATATATGGAAATTAGATTCCAAACTATACCTCACTCTGGGAACAGACAGATTCCTTCCCCTTTAACAAGAGTCGGAGAATTGTGATGTGACTGCCTAGCACTAGGGCAGGACGGAAATGAAAAAAAGATTTACACAAATACGCTTTGCATTTTTAGGGACAGTCCTTAGGCTGGGTGAGAAGCATTACACAGAGTAACCTGGGATCTCAGATCCGAGAGCTGTAGCTTAAGACAGTGAAGACTTCCACATAGGATGAATCTGTTTAACCAAAAGAAACCAGACCAACTGACTATGGTTATAGGTGGCCCAGGCACCTAGTTGCTGCACAGGAGATCCCTCCCTGCTGCCCCATCAGCCCCTACTTACCCTTCCTACAGATCCACAAATGCTGTGGAGAGAATCCTGGATTGGGATTCCAAAGACCCAGTTTCAGACACTGATTTTGCCATCTATTAGCTGTGTGACCTTGGGCAAGCCACTTAACTGCTCTGAGCCTCATTGCTAAGATGTGGAGTATAGTGGTTAAAGCTTGTACTTGGCCATCAGATCCCGGGTTTAAATCCTGGTTGCTCATTAGTGTGTCTTGGGACTTTGGACGAGTTAGCTCCCTTCTCTGTCTCTGCTTCTCGGATACCCGATCTTAGAGTGGATGCTTGAGAACGGTGAGATAATACAGGTCTAAACCCGTTATCTGAAATGCTGAGCCAAATGGAGTTTGGATTTCAGAATTTGTTAGCTTATAAAGATAATACGATGTGTGTACCACACATTAATTAACATCCACAGCTGAGACAGTGTATAATCCAATACATTAACATTTCTGCAGCAGAACGTATGACTATACTAAGTGGGATAAAATCTATTAATAGCCTCCAATCAGTGCAAGCCAGGTTTTGCTACCAAAAAAAAAAGATTGCATCATTCTTAGGGGGGGAAAATCATAGGGCCTGTCAAAGCTTTATGGGTTTCAGAATTGTAGCTAAGTGGTGGTGGGCACATATGTGTGAAGTGCTGGTAGCAATGCCTGCCACCGAGAAGGTGTTCTGTCAATGCTCCCCTCGTGATCTTCACATCTGCCCTACCTATGTCACAGGATGTCATGTGAATGTGAACGTTCTTTTTATGCTGTAAAGCAGCTTGCTCTCAGGTGGCTTTCATGGCCCACAGGAATAAATCTCTTGGAATATAGGCAGCAGGAATGAGGGAAGAGTTGAGGGGCCAGGGTGCTGCTAGGGGGTCCCAAGTCATTCCAAAGATAGTCAAGTACTTCACCCATGCAGCCAGTCCTGGCTTAGGTATTTCTTAGGATAGGCCCCAAACCTCCAGAAGCTCTCTGAGCCCAATCCCCAATTTAGGGGGCAGGAACAGGCACATGTAGGTGCTCAACAAATAGCAAATTCTGGGAGACTGAGGTGTTTTTGCAGCTGTCTGAATTTAATGGAGAGTCAACTAGTGGTTATCAAAGGCCCAGACAGGTAGCCTTTCTTATAAAGAAAATCTGTCTATGGTGGAATCTCTGCCTCCAAGAGTGGTGGCAAGTGAAGTGTTCTCAGCATTGGTTTTACAGTTGCTCGCTAACTTCCAGGAAAGCTTTGGGGTGTTTCCAACACTTTTGACCGGCAGGGGGCGCTCATGGCATTTAGGACACAAAGGCAGGTTCTGGCATGGTAATGAGCTGGTCCCACCCCATCCTGCTGCCCTCACAGTAGTTGCCAGGCAAAGGACACGACTGTTCCCACCTGGATATGCAACTCCATAGACTCATCAGCTTCTGGAGATTCCCCTCAAAGCTGCACACAAGAAGCAGCAGCGTGAGCACAGCTAGCTTAAAAAGCAACATCCAAAATATATTCTCAAGAACTTAAGTTCTGCAAGATGCTTGTTAGAAGTGGTCATATGGGTTTGGGGCTGTGTACATTCTCCTCTTAGAGCTTCCATTTACTCATGTTAAAGGCTCTGAGAATTCCTGCAGAAAAGAAACTATCTCAGTATTTCCCCAAGGTACTTTTTCTTCTAACTCAACAATTATTAATATCCCGAGGGTTACTCTGGGAAATACATTAAGAGAGTAGTGTCTACTTAAGGGTTGCAAAGATGATGCAATAAGATCCAGAGCCCTGCAGATCAGCCTGGGCCACTCAGGCCTCCTCATGGGGAGCCTCCTCTCCCTTCATATGCCCAGCCCCTAGTCTCCAGGCACTCCATTGCACCTTGGAAGTTGTTCCTTAAACTGGAGACCTCTGGCCGTTTCCAGCCACCTCTCTGGGTTTAATCCCCGAGGAAAACTCCTTTTCCATTTGGCCCAGAAGTTTCTTGTTCCTCATCTGCTCCCCAGGAATTATCTACACAATATAGGATTTTTGCTTGTAGAGCTATGGGGTTGGGGAGGCCATACCTTAGATGACGTCATTCCTTTGACCCTCTCCTCCTAAGTTTATGGGTGGCTGACAACCAAATTATGGATTCTTTCTTCCTTAGGGTATTCATTGTATTTCAGAAGCCTATTTGAGTCTCAAAACAAAACCCTTTTAGACCCAAAGGAATAAGTCAAGTGGCAGAACCCGATGGGTCATAGAAGAAGCTAAGTGAACCTTCCCAGGTCCTTAAATTCCAGAATGTGGTCACCACTATAAGCTGAAGGCCCAGAGCAACATTAAGAAGACCCTGAGTGATCTGTCCCCAGCTCCTCTTCAACTTTTAGTTTTCTTGTTTCTCTGCACAGTGTCAATGGTATTTTAAATTATTTATTGAAACATTGTCTCTCTCTGTTGCCCAGCTGGAGTGCAGTGGTGCAATCATAGCTCACTGTAACCTCGAACTCCCGGGCTCAAGCAATCCTCCTGCCTCAGCCTCCTGAGTAGGACTACAGGCATGGGCCATCATGTGCAGATAATTTTTTATTTTTAGAGATGGGGTCTAGCTATGTTGTGCAGGCTAGTCTTGAACACCTGTCCTCAAGTAATCCTCCCACCTTGGCCTCCCAAAGCACTGGGATTACAAGCATGAGCCACACTGCACCTGGCCAACAATGAGAACTTCAATTGCTATTAAAGGATATGTGGACCAAAGAGAAAGGCAGTGCCTCCATGACAGCATGCAGGCCTCTCTGTTCCATCTTCACCGAGGGAAGAAGGGGTAGACTTTCCAGATGGGCAGAGGTGAAAGGCAAGGGACACTGCTGCTGGCTCAGGACCAATGGTTGCGGCTTAGTAGTTCTCCAAGGTCGTAGGGCAGGCTCTGAGGAGGGGTGCCTCTGGGAAGATGAGTCCTGGGGAGGACTGCTACTCCAATGGCCATTGTTGTATCTATGACCCAGTAGCTGGCTAAGAATCTGATTTTCCTGGATGTGGGAAGGTGCAGTCAAGGGAAAGTTTGCTGGGGGATCCTGACAGGGTTTGGGGGTCATTCTTGGAGGGATAGGGTACCTAGGAGAATCTAGACGCTTGGCCAGTGATAAATTTCCTACTGGGACCCCAGCTTGTAGCTGGACCCTCCTGGGCAAGGCAGCCAAAGCAAGTGGATCTTTACAGGCCCCTCCCACAGGAGGTGAGGGCTCGCTTCTACCCTCTGCCACCTGCCCCTGGAAGCTTCTGCCCAGCTGAGTCAGGTGGCCTGGTGGATCCAATAGTACCTTTTGTAATACCGAGTCCACAGCCTGGGACACTGCCCTGGTCAGCTCTTTCCTCAGAATCTCTAGTGAAGCTGGTGCTCCAGAAGGAAGGAAACTGGGCTTCTCAGACTCTTGGTGTTTTTCTGCCCCAGAGAGGTCCTTGCTGGTACCTTGCTGGTGGTCACCGTCCACAACCCAGGGGCGAGGCCCACAGCCATTCCCCTGCTTTGCACTCAGAGGGCCTTTCCCCGTGCCACAGCCTCCTGGCCCCTGAGCTGTGTCCCTGGGCTTGGCAGCCTGTAGGATGTGCTCTTGCAGATGTCTTAGCTGTTGCTTCAGCAGATGAAGTTGTTCTCTCACACGAGGGCCCCCCTTCCTGTTGCCCTGGTCCCAGGCAGGGGCTGGCATCAGGAGGCCTTGCGGTGTGGGAAGGTTCTGCTTCCTCTTCCTCTCTCGGGCCTTCTTTGGGCAGCGTGGGCTGACCCCAGCTTGCGCATTGCCTGGCACCAGAGGATTCGGGGAGAGACACATGCCTCGGACAATGGTCTCCACTCTGGCCCTCTTTGCCTGGATGTGCTCATCACCAAACCATTCGGGGTCTGTAGGGCTGGAGCTGGGGACCTGACTCCAGGGAAACGGGGAGTCTCTATCCAGCTCTGGAGGGGATGAGCTTCTCTCGCCTTCCGTACAAGCTTCTGCTAGGTGGGAGCAGATCTGGGGCTGAGGAGAAAGCAAGATGGAGTTTGGATCCATCCCAGGCACTTGTTCAGGGCTTCAGGAATTCCTCCTCCTTATTTCCTCAGCTGGAAGTGCACCCAGAATGCGCTGGGCTTCCTCCTCTGCACTTAGAAGGGTAAAGAGCCACTGTCACTGAGGAAGGATTCAGATTCTGGGATGCCAGGGCTCATGAACCTCCTGGGCAGACTCCTGAAATTAGAGACAGGAAGAAAAGAGTACGTGTGACTTTGAACAGTCCTTTTAAAATGTGAATGTGCAAACATTCAACGCGGTCTCGTTAAAGTGTAGATTTCAATTCAGTAGATGTGGGGTGGGGCAGAGATTCTCCATTTTAAGCCAGCTCCCAGGTAATGCTGATGCTGCTGGTCTCAGAACCCCACTTTGAGGAGACTCCGAGAGTGATCTTACAGGGAGAAAAATCTTCTCCTGCTTGGGCATAACAATAAAATAATAATAATAATAATAATATCGTAGTGGCAGCCGCCTGAACAACTGGCATTATGCCAAGAACTCTACATCCATTAATTTAATTAATGTGTCATAACAGCTCCATGAGAATGTGGTCATGCCTATTGTCTACAGATAAGAAAACAAGATCAGAGAAGAAGCTACTTCCCTATGGTCATGCAGCTCGTAAGTGACAGACTGGGGTCAAACCAAGCGTTGTCTGATTCGGAGTGACTTTTCTAGTGACTAAGGGCAACAGAATCACCCAAGGCACTTCTAGAAATAGCAAATTCGGCAGGGTGCGGTGGCTCACGCCTGTAATCCCAGCACTTTGGGAGGCCGAGGCAGGCGGATCACCTGAGGTTGGGAGTTGGAGACCAGCCTAACCAACATGGAGAAACCCTGTCTCTACCAAAAGTACAAAATTAGCTGGGCGTGATGGCGGGCGCCTGTTAATCCCAGCTACTTGGGAGGCTGAGGCAGGAAAATCACTTGATCCTGCGAGGTGGAGGTTGCCATGAGCCAAGATTGCCCCGTTGCACTCCAGCCTGGGTGACAGAGCGAGACTCCATCTCAAAAAAAAAAAGCAAATTCAGGCCGGGCAAGGTAGCTCACACCTGTAATCCCAGCACTTTGGGAGGCCAGGGCGAGTGGATCACCTGAGGTCAAGAGTTTGAGACCAGCCTGGCCAACATGGTGAAACCCCATCTCTACTAAAAATAAAAAAAATTAGCTGAGTGTGGTAGCATGCGCCTGTAATCCCAGCTACTTGGGAGGCTGGGGCAGGAGAATCACTTGAACCCAGGAGGCGGAGGTTGCAGTGAGCCGAGATTGTTCCATTGCACTCCAGCCTGGGCGACAGAGTGAAACTCTGTCTTAAGAAAAAAAAGAAAAAGAAAAAAAAAAAAACACTGCCGTCCTAACTCTTGGAAAAATCAGATTACGCATTCACTGTTCAACTATTTATTGAACAACTATTTATTGAGCACCTGCTGTGTGTCGGGCCTTCTTCTGGGCTCATGGAGTGAGCAAGATCAGCATAGTCTGCCCTCCTGGAACAGGCAGTCTAGCAGGGAAAGCAGAGAATAAACAAACAAATATATTTTCAGTGTGTGATACCTGCTGTGAAGAGAAAGCACAACAAAGGGTTGGAAACTGGAGAGAGCGGTTGGGGAGAAGGAGGGAGCTATTTCAGGAAAGACTGCCTAAAGCTGTTTTATTCCCACAAAGCATCAAAGTACACTATACTCCAACCACGTCACTTGCTTTCTAACTAATAATAATCATTGAACTGGGCCGGGCGCGGTGGCTCACGCCTGTAATCCCAGCACTTTGGGAGGCTGAGGCGGGTGGATCACAGGTCACCATCCTGGCTAACATTCATGAAACCCCGTCTCTACTAAAAATACAAAAAATTAGCCAGGCGTGGTGGCGGGCGCCTATAGTCCCAGCTACTCGGGAGGCTGAGGCAGGAGAATGGCATGAATCTGGGGGGCAGAGGTTGCAGTGAGCCGAGATCACACCACTGCCCTCCAGCCTGGGCAACAGAGCGAGACTCTGTCTAAAAAAAATCATAATCATAGTAATTAAACTGGCAGAACTGATATTTTAACCAACAGGGACACTACAACGATACCCTGGATATGTTAAATTTGATATAAGTACTAGACAGACATCTAAATGTCAAGATGTCAAGAAAGCAATTGGAGACTGGGTGCAGTGGCTCATGCCTGTAATCCCAGCACTTTGGGAGGCAGAGGCGGGTGGATCACGAGGTCAGGAGTTCAAGACCAGACTGGCCAACATAGTGAAACCTTGTCTCTACTTTAAAAAATACAAAAATTAGCCGAGTGTGGTGGCGGGCACCTGTAGTCCCAGCTACTTGGGAGGCTGAGGCAGGAGAATTGTTTGAATCCAGGAGGTGGAGGTTGCAGTGAGCCAAGATCACACCACTGCACTCCAGCCTGGGTGACACAGCAAGACTCCGTCTCGAAAAACAAAAAACAAAAAACCAGAAAGCAATTGTAGAAATAAGCCTGGGGTTCAGTCAGGGAGATCTGGGCTAGAAATGTAAAATTGAGGGTGGTCAGCATGTGGCTGGATGAGGTCACGAAGGGAGTAAATGTAGACAGAGAAGGGAGGAGGGCCAAGGTCCAAGTCCTGGGACACAGGGACATGAAGAGGCTGGGGGCATGAGCTGGCATCAACCAAGGCAACTGAGAAGGAGCAGTCAGAGAGGCAGGGGGAAACCTAGGGGTGTGCGAGGTCCTGGCAACCAAGTGAAGTAAATGTTTCTAGGAGGAGGGAGAGGCCAAGTCACAAAGGGATAGTAAATTGGCCATTTGAATTAGTAATGTGGAGTCACTGGGAATCTTGATCAACAGTTTTGGTGGAGTACAGGGAGAAAAAAGCCTGATTGACGTGGATTTAAGGGAGAGGACAAGAAGAGGAGTAGGTGACATTGAATCTGACAACTCTTTCAAGGAGTTTTGTAAAGAGGACAGAAATGAGACAGTGCTGAAAGAGAAAATGGGGTCAAGAGAGAGTTTTTCAAGATAGGCAGAATAACAGCATATTTGTAGGCTGATAACAATGTTGCTGCAGAAAGATGAAATATGTTAATGTAGGCAAGAGGGGGAGAATTTCTGGAGCCATGTGCTTGAGTAGGAAGGAGGGGAAGAGATCTAGTGCACACAAGGAGGGATTGACTTTAGACAGGGGAATGCTCAGTTCATCCATGCAGCAAAAGGAAGAGCAGTGGAGGCACACCAGTACAGGCAGGTGGATAAATGTGATGGGAACTGGTGGAAATTTTCTTTTGATTGTTTCCATTTTCCCCATGACATTGCCACTGGTATTAATCTTCTAAAATGTAGCTAGCTCTGCTTATGCCCCTCTATGGAATCAAAGTCTTTGCTAGCTTCCTGTGGACTAGAAGGTTCAGATGTCTCAGCTCTTCACAAACATGGTCTCGATCTAACTCCTTTGGAGCCACTACCCTCAACAATTGCCTGTGTCCAGCTGTCCTGGACTTTGTGTTCACTGAACAGGCCAGGCTCCTTCCAGCCTCCGTGTCTTTGCATTTACATTCTCTTGGCCCGACCAGCCCTTCTCCCACTTTTCCACGGACAAACTCTTATTCCTCTTTCAAAATCCAACTGAAATGTCACTTCCTCTCTGAAGTGATCAATGCATCTTCCCCTTTGGTCTGTGAGCTCCCTCTTTGTGTTCCCAAGTAGTGCCTGACTGCCAGATGTTACCAGATGTTTGCTAACTCCATTGAATAAATTGTCCATAAATACTTCATTTATATTGATTTTTGTCTCCTCAATAGACAATACTTTATTTCAGATCTCTCTAGCACCTAGCATGGAGGCTTGTGCATGGAACAAAATCAATGCAGACAGAAAGACAGACGGGTAGATAGAGTCATTGAGGAGAAGAGCATAGAACCACTAAAGCTGCTGAATCTCCCTTGTGGGTTATTCAAGGTATTGTTTCTGAGGTTCCGTGTAGTCTGTGTGCTCCAGAAGACAGATCTACTAGGGTAACAGATGGGACCAGTGTGTTTAATGAAGCAACAATGAACAGAAATATCTTGAGGCCAGAAACTGGAAATCCAGCCAGACTCCACTGTGGCTGGGTACCCAGAGATGTTTACGCCCATGCAATCATGGAAACTCTGCCTCTGGGCTGCTGAGAAACAGGAAACCTCTGTGCTGAGGCCGGCGTGCTGCCCACAGCCCTTTATCTGGGTAAGTCTGCATGAAGCAGTGATGCTTTCTGTTTGAAAATTAGCTACTAGCACTCTCATATTCACTGATGGAGGTAGCAATTGTCATAATCCTTTAAAAATAGCTTTATTGCATCTCTTAGACGATGAAAGTAATGTAGGATCATTTTACTTCCCAAATATAGAAATGTATTAAGAGGAAAAGAAAGACACTCTAATGCCACTCCCAGAGAAAATCAGTTAAAATTTTGGTGTTCATCATTTTTGCCAAGCTCTTTTCTCCATGTACAGAGAAGTTTATAATTTCTCGTAATTATATATATATATATATATATATATATATATATATATATATATATATAAACAAAAATGGTATTATAGATATATAGTTTTATGCCTCCATTTTTAAATCTTTCATGTGGATGAATATCAATCTACAGCAACGTTGTGAAAGCTGATAATATTCCATTGTATAGATGTACCCTAATTTACTTAACAAGTTCTCCTTTGATAGATTCCTTCTTATATTTTCACTATTATAGAAGCATAGACAGGCCGGGCGCGGTGGCTCACACCTGTAATCCCAGCACTTTGGGAGGCTGAGGCAGGCGGATCACGAGGTCAGGAGATCGAGACCATCCTGGCTAACACAGTGAAACCCCGTCTCTACTAAAAAAAATACAAAAAATTAGCTGGGCATGGTGGCGGGCGCCTGTAGTCCCAGCTACTCGGGAGGCTGAGGCAGAAGAATGGCGTGAACCCAGGGGGGCGGAGCCTGCAGTGAGCCGAGATCACGCCACTGCACTCCAACCTGGGCGACAGCGAGACTCCGTCTCAAAAAAAAAAAAAATAAGATAGTATGGAGATAGATGGAGAACATAGACCCACAAATCAGACTGCCTAGACTTGAATCCCTAGAGCCACTTAGCTAAGTTTGTGACCTCTCCGTACCTCAGTTTTCTCATCAGTAAAATGGGCATAACCATAATATCTATGGTTATTGTGGAATTCACATCTGGATCCAATAAGTTAACACATGTTATATTTTTAGAACAGTTCCTGGCACTTACTTATTGCTGATAAGTTGTAGCTATTGTTATTATGAATAATATTGGGATTAACACTCCTACATATTTCTTTGGGGACTACATTTCTAGAAGTGAAAATATTGCATCAAAGGCTGAGACTACGTTAAACTGTTCTACTTCTTTTCCAACTGTCCTCCAGAAATGTACCAACTGACTGGGGGTAGAGAGGAGGGACTGAAGCAGAACCTTCAACTTTTTTTTTTTTTTTGAGATGGAGTTTAGCTCTTGTTGCCCAGGCTGAAGTGCAGTGGCGTGATCTCGGCTCACTGCAACCTCTGCCTCCCACGTTCAAGCGATTCTCCTGCCTTAGCCTCCCAAGTAGCTGGTATTACAAGCATGCACCACCACACCCGGCTAATTTTGTATTTTTAGTAGAGACAGGGTTTCTGCATGGTGGTCAGGCTGGTCTCTAACTCCCGACCTCAGGTGATCCACCCACCTTGGCCTCCCAAAGTGCTGGGATTACAAGCATGAGCCACCATGCCTGATCTCAACTTTTACTCTGTGTATTTCTATATTAATTGAATTTTTACAAGAATATATTCGTGTGTTACTTGTATATATATACTTTTAAATAGCCAATTTATGCTCCTACCAATGTATCTATAAAAGAACATACATCTCCTTATCTTTATCAACGCTGGGCATTGTCTTTTAAATCTTTGCCGTTATGGTAGGTGACAATGTTACCTCATTATGTGTATTTCTTTGATTCTCAGTAATCTTGCTCAGTTTTCATATATTTTTTGGAAATATTCATGGATTGTATATTAAGAAACTTAAAAATGTTTATACCATTTGAATCAGTGAGTCTATGTCTATGAAGTTAAGCCAAGAAAATGATGGCTAGACTCATAAATTTATGTCAAAGATGGCCATCCAAGTATTATTAATAAGAGTAGGCACTAGTTAAGGTATGGTATAATCTACATGATGCCATATTATGCAACCGTTTTGAAAAATAGTGTTTAAGTAAAGTTTATGTAACATTATTTTATAAAACTGGAGTGGGGGGGTAAGAGAAAATTAGATATTAAAAATACAAAGAAAAATATGAGGCCAGGTATGGTGGCTCATGCCTGTAATCCTAGCACTTTGGGAGGCTAAGGTGGGAGGATTGCTTGAGCTCAGGAGTTTGAGAGTAGCCCAGGCAACATGGCGAAACCCTGTTTCTCCAAAAAAAAAATCACCTGGGCATTGTGGTGGCTTGTGCCAGTAGTCTCAGCTACTAGGGAGGCTGAGGCAGGAGGATCACTGAGACCAAGAAGTTGAGGCTGCAGTGAGCTCTGATTGCGCCACTGCACTCTAGCCTGGGCAACAGAGGGAAAGCCTGCCTCAAAAAAAAAAAAAAAATACACACACACACACACACACACACACACGCCCATACATTATAGAGAAATAAATACATCAAAATGTTGTTTATGGGTAATAGAACCACAGGTAATTTTTTTCTCTATTTTTTCTTTTTATTTTTCTGAATTTTCTAAATTTTTAATGGATATGTTTTCAGTTTTGTAATGAAAAAAGGCAATCTTGCCTTTGTTAATTAAACATTTGCATGTATGGAGAAAGCTATGCATGTTGAAGGCAGGGGATATATGCGAAATCTCTGTACTTTCCATTCAATTTTGCTGTGAACCTAAAACCACTCTAAAAAATAAAGTCTAGGCCGGGCGCAGGGGCTCACGCCTGTAATCCCAGCACTTTGGGAGGCCAAGGGGAGTGGATTGCCTGAGGTCAGGAGTTCGAGACCAGTCTGGCCAACATGGTGAAACCCTGTCTCTACTAAAAATACAAAAAAATTAGCTGGGCGTGGTGGCATGCATCTGTAATCCCAGCTACTTGGGAGGCTGAGGCAGGGGAATTGCTTGAACCACGGGGGTGGAGGTTGCAGTGAGCCGAGATCAAGCCACTGCAGTCCAGCCTGGGCAACAGAGCGAGACTCCATCTCAAAAAAATAAATAAATAGATAGATAAATAAATAAAGTCTAGACAGATGTGGTGGTGCTTACCTGTAGTCTCAGCTACTCAGGAAGCTGAGGTGGGAAGACTGCTTGAGCCCAGGAGTTCAAAGCTGTAGTGTGCTACGATCATGCCAATGAATAGCCACTGCATTCCAGCCTGGGCAACAAAGTAAGACCCTGTCTCTAAAAACATAAAGTAAAATAAATAAAGTCTATTTTTTTTAAAAAAACTGCACTTTTTTCTCATTAACTCTTTCCCAGATACATATTCCTCGGTACCAGAAATAAAAAACCCCACTGGAGAAGCAAATTTAGCTACAAACACAAGCATAGAACACAGGGCTTATAAGATAACTGCGAAGGCACATAGGATTTTATAGCTGGAAAATGTAAAATGAGGGTGAGTTTGAATTTCAAGTATATAATGGACGACATAAGGCTAGATGTGGTAGCTCACGCCTGTAATCCCAGTGCTTTGGGAGGCCAAGGCTCAAGGATCACCTGAGCCCAGGAGTTCGAGACCAGCCTGGGCAACATATCAGATCCAATCTCTGCAAAAAATAGAAAAAATTAACCAGATGTGGTGGCACCTGTCTGTGGTTCCAGCTACTTGGGAGGCTGAGGTGGGAGGACCTCGAACCCAGGAGGTCGAGGCTATAGTGAGCCATGATAGCACCGCTGCACTCAGCCTGGGCAACAGAGCAAGACCCTGTCTCAAACAAACAAACAAACAAACAAGAACATACGAGAGAAGTTGTGTGTTGTCTCCTTTCAGCTTTGTGTTAGAGCACCGGGGCATGAGCTGAAAAGGAACAGCCAGTGTCTGTGGCATCATCACCTGCACAGATCACCTCCTACATGGCAGCCTTTCTCCCTGTGGGTCTATGTCCTTCCATGGAATATCCCTGGAGAGCTCCCGAAGCTCTGCCCAAGTGGGACAAAGGGGAAGGGCTGCCTATGAGGCCAGCTGAGGTGAGACTGGCAGCTCACAGGCCATGTCTCCCCTTCTGTGATGTGTACACATTTAGGGAACAGCAAACACCTTTGATGCGCTTCAGCTGGGTCACAAGAGAACCAATCAATAAAGCAAGGTGGGCTATGGAGAGTCCTTAGGTAAAAGGTACCTCGTGAAGCCCAAGAGATGCTAACTCATTCTCATCACTGTCATTGAAGCTCAAATCAGATTTATACAAGCAGTTTTATTGTTATTTCCTTGATAAAATTCCTGCCTGGTTTTTGTTGGGAAAACATGTTTTTCTTTGCAGTATTTTGTTCATTCATTTCCTAGATTCAGTTGGATTCCAACTGGACCAGCCTTGTGCTTAGTAGATGACCACCCAACGTGATTGGAAAGGTATGGAGGAAAATGCCTTATCCTGAAACAGCTGCTTTTACCTTCATCAACACTCATTATGGGATCTAAGGGCCCACCACTGGCATTTCATAATAATGATGACTTAATCACATCTGTATATGAATACATTTTTGCCTTACCCATTGTACTCCTGAACAGCCGCCCATCCAAATACTTGCCAGACAGAGCTAACTTTTGCTACTGATGAAGACTTGTTCAGGGTAGCACATCTCAAAGTCACATAGCGTTTTTATGCTTTTCAAAGGCATTTTCATATACAGCCTTGTCCTGTTTTATTCTCTATGATGAGAGGCCCCCTGCACTGTCCCCACTCTGCTACAGGTCGGAGGCCACCCATCCATCTCTGGTCCAGCCCTGAACAGGCTCTCTTCACTGCACTGGCTAATGACAGAAATGAGGAGAGGGGGTCAGACTGACAGGCCCAGGCCACACAGCCCTGTCCATCCACAGACACAGACACAATGGAGTCAGAAGCCCTGGTGGTCTGCATCAACCACTGCATGGCTGTGAACTATGGAATGATCTACCAGGTATTAGACCTGGGGGGAATCGTTAGCTATTTTTTTTTTCTTTTGAGATGGAGTCTCGCTGTGTCACCCAGGCTGGAGTGCAGTGGCGATCTTGGCTCACTGCAACCTCCACCTCCTTGGTTCAAGTGATTCTCCTGCCTCAGCCTCCCGAGTAGCTGGGACTACAGGCACGTGCCACCATGCCCAGCTAATTTTTTGTATTTTTAGTAGAGGCGGGGTTTCACCATGTTAGCCAGGATGGTCTCAATCTCCTGATCTCATGATCTGCCCGCCTTGGCCTCCCAAAATGCTGGAATTACAGTCAGTCGTGAGCCACCGCGCCCAGCCCTTTGTTAGCTCTTATGTGAACTTACACAAATTAACTCTGCCTTTTCCCCTTCAGTTTCTCTGGCTGTAAAATGGGGTTGATAACAGTCACTCTCTTAGGATTGTGGTGAGGATCACATGTGGTGGGCCTTGCATTCTCTGGTGCGGGAAATAGGCACTCCTTAAACTGGTTTCCTTTCCTCCTAGGGGGGGTTCAGGAGCCCCCACAGCCATAGAACTCCAGAGCTGGAAAGGGCTTAGGAGCATCTGGTACAGTGGCTGGTCTCCAGATTTTTATATTTTTAGATGTCAACCATTAATAAAATGAAGAGGTCTTCTGGCCCCGGCCAAGGTGCCAGTCGCCTCCTGAGATCCTGTGCCTTCAAACCCTGAGAGTCCATATTTTTAAAAAAACAAAATGAAGGAATTAAGGCTTAAGGAACTAGAGAGTCACCTGCAATAAGTGGATGGATTCGAAAAGGCCAAGCTACTTCTAGAACAGTATCCCACCAAGCTTCACATTGCAGCATGTATGCTGTATGCAATCCATAGCACTTATGATGACATTGAAAGTGAAGTTTTTGCAGATCTAGGCTGTAGTGGTGGAATGCTTAGCATGGGAACTGCAGTGTGAGGAGCAGGGTTCTGTGTTGGATTTGACAGAGATGAAGATGTATTGGAAATAGTTAATAGGAATGTGGAAGAGTTTGAGTTAACAAATATTGACATGGTTCAATGTGATGTGTGCCTGTTATCTAACAGGATGTCAAGTCATTTGATACAGTAATTATGAATCCGCCTTTTGGGACCAAAAATAATAAAGGGATAGATATGGCTTTTCTAAAGACCGCTTTGGAAATGGCAAGAACAGCAGTATATTCTTTACACAAATCCTCAGAGAACATGTTGAAAAGAAAGCTGCAGAATGGGAAATCAAGATAGATATGATTTCAGAGCTTTGGGATGACCTGCCAGCATCATACAAGTTTTTTTTTTTTTTTTTTTTGATATGGAGTCTTGCTCTATTGCCAGGCTGGAGTGCAGTGGCGTGATCTTGGCTCACTGCAACCTCTGCCTCCCGGGTTCAAGCGATTCTTCTCACTCAGCCTCCCAAGTAGCTGGGATTACAGGCGCCCACCACCGAGTCCAGCTAGTTTTTGTATTTGTAGTGGAGACAGGGTTTCACCATCTTGGCCAGGCTGGTCTTGAACTCCTGACCTCGTAATCCACCCACCTCGGCCTCCCAAAGTGCTGGGATTACAGGCGTGAGCCACCGCGCCCGGCCTATACAAATTTCCTAAAAATAAATCAGTGGGCATTGGAGTGGACCTAACTCAGTTTTCATTTTAAAAGCCCCCAAAACAAAAGTAGTTTAAAACTTATTTAAAATGAATAAAAATTGGTTTACTAAAAATAAAAAATGAAACGAAGAGGAAAGATATTGGACCAGTTTGAGAGTTACTGACATTTTATTTTGCAGGTGAAGGCACAAAAAATAAGTATACAAAAGACTACTATCTACCATCACTTTTATTTCCTCTTTAAAATTTTTTCATCTCCCTTCATGACACATGATTTTTATTTCTTAAAGAATCTTAGCTGGGCGGGGTGGCTCACGCCTGTCATCCCAGCGCTTTGGGAGGCTGAGATGGGTAGATCGCCTGAGGTCAGGAGTTTGAGACCATCCTGGCCAACATGGTGAAAACCTGTCTCTACTAAAAATACAAAAATTAGCTGGGCGTGGTGGTGCATGCCTGTAATCCCAGCTACTCAGGAGGCTGAGGCAGGGAGAATTGCTTGAACCCGGGAGGTGGAGGTTGCAGTGAGCTGAGACGTGCCATTGCACTCCAGCCTGGGCAACAGAGCAAGACTCCATCTCAAAAAAAAATAAAAAATAAATAAAATAAAATCTTAACCACTTTGTTTTTAAAAGAATAAAAGGGGGAAATGCATAATATGCAAATAAGTTTAGCTTTGCGAAAAACTCTTTACATTGTCTTTTCTCATTTTTCTAAAAACCAAGGGAAATGTCACAGGCTAGCGTTAGGGGTCCGAGGATCTTCATGACATGCCTTTACTTTATGGATGAGGAACCAGGAGCCCAGAGAGGTAAGGTGACATGCCCAAGGTCACACAGCAGCTGCAATGCCTCCTTGCTCTCTAGGAAAACACCCCTGGACATCAGAGATCCTTTCATGTGGCTGTACAAGCACTTGGGCTGGGAGTTAGGAGGTCTGGGCACTACTCCCAGTCATTGGCCCTAAAGCCGCATATTCTGCGTTTCAGCTTTTATAAAATGGAGATGATAATCATCCCTTCACTGAGAACTTGGGTGAGAATCTAATGAAAGAAGAGCTTCAAAAGGGCTCCAGAGATGCATACACAGTATTATGGAGTGAGGAATTAGGGAGTGAAATGTCTCCATGTCTATAATTTGCCTGAAAGTATTTCAGCCAACAAAAATAAGCAAATACATATGAACAATTGTTAAATCTAGGTGATGAGTATAGGGGTGGGTATTGCTATGCTACTCTGTCTACTTCTCTGCATATTTGACAATTTTCATAATGTTCCATAATTTTTTAAAAAGTACTCTGGCAAGGTAAATGGAAAGGATGATGTTACTCACAGGGAAGAGGTCCTCTGGGAGGTCCTTGTCTTGGGCTCTGTGGCCAGGTGGGGCCAACCACTCTAGAAGACGGAGCAGCCCACTCTTCACCAGCCCTGGGCAGACAGAGCCATGGTCAGGAAGTGCTTCTGGTTTCCCTGCTTCCTCTCCAGGCAGGCCGGGTGCCCGTGGCTGGGTGAGGGGAGGCTCTGGCCCCTTCTTAGCACAAGGCACTGTCTGACAGACCCAGTCTTGCTGCAGCCGCTGACTCTGGGGACAGTGGGGGCTGCTTAGCGCAGCCAACCGGCATGGGGGGCTTATGAATATGCAAATTGAGGCCAGCTGGTTGGCTGCCCCCATGCCATTTCTCAACGCCACCCCAACTCAGGTGCCCAGAAAAGCCAGCTCAGAGAGGGCCTTCCTGAAATGCCATCTCTTCTGTCTTTGCCTATGGACCACAGAGCCCTTTGAAAACTTGGGGACTGAATCACCCAGCTTCTCTCATTGCTCTGGCCTCCAGCGGGAAGCTCCTGACTTCTGCTTTCAAATTCCCCAGAGAGGCAGCTCCAATATGAACATCCTCTCCCTGTCCCTCAAGCATCCTGAGAAGACTGGAATCAGCCCAACAGCAAACCATGGCATCTCAGATCTGCAGGAAGGAGAGGCTGCGTGGTCCCTCCCTCCCACAGAGGCCTGAACACTGCTGAGGAAGCTGCTGCTGGGCCAAAAGCACCCATCCCTGACAGATCTGGGAGAACTCACTGGCCAAACCCACCTACTCCCGAATGTAACCCAAATTTTGCCTTCCCCTCCTCCTTCAGCTTGAGAAGTGGAGGGGATGTTGTGAAATACAGCAATGAAAATTAGTAAACCACAGCTCAACTCATCAACGTGGACAAATCCTCAAAATACAATGTTGACTGAAAGAAGTAAGTCACAGAGGCTGGGCTCAGTGGCTCACGCCTGTCATTCCAGCACCTTGGGAGGCTGAGGCGGGCAGATCACTTGAGCCCAGGAGTTCAAGACCAACCTGGGCAACATAGAGAGATCGCATCTGTACCAAAAATACCAAAAAAAAAAAAAAAAAGAAAGAAAAAAAAATGTGCTTTTGGTCCTAGCTACTTGGGAGGCTGAGGTGGGAGGATGAGGATTGCTTGAGTCCAGGAGGCAGAGGTTGCAGTGAGCCGAGATTGCACCACTGTACTCCAGCCTGGGCGATAGAGTGAGACCCCATTACAAAAAAAAAAAAAAAAGGGTGGGCGCAGTGGCTCACGCCTGTAATCCCAGCACTTTGGGAGGCCGAGGTGGGTGGATCACAAGGTCAGGAGATTGAGACCTCCTGGCTAACACGGTGAAACCCCGTCTCTACTAAAAAACACAAAAAATTAGCCGGGCATGGTGGCAGGTGCCTGTAGTCCCAGCTACTTGGGAGGCTGAGGCAGGACACTGGCATGAACCTGGGAGGCAGAGCTTGCAGTGAGCCGAGATCACACCACTGCACTCCAGCCTGGGCAACAGAGCAAGACTCCGTCTCAAAAAAAAAAAAAAAAAAAGAAGTAAGTTACAGAATGATACAGGCACTGTGATTCCATTTCTACTAAGTTAAAAAATAGACCAAAAAAAAATACCCACACAAAAACATGTCTAGATTTTCATTGTGTATTCATCAGTCCATTATTTTGAATTACAACTGAATGAAGAGATAGACAGATAGATGGAATCTAGGTATCATAGGTAACACTGAGTGAATATAGGGCATAGTCCCTATTTTAAGGAGCCCAAAGATGGAAGCATAGGCTATAGCCCCATCTACTAGCTGGCCGATAATATTCATAAACTCATAGGCAAGGATGTGAATGTATGGTTCAGAACACACATAAGAAAACCGGGGGATTTGAGGTAAATGAGCTACTTAATCCTTTCTAAAAACACACCTTTTTTCTTATTTAATTTGAAAGTAAATACATCTTTCATTTTCATTTTTTATTTTTTTCTATATCAGACCACTGCTGGAGACATCTTTTTCTTAATTTAAAAACACAGGCAAAAATGTGTATAGAACATAAGCATATTGAAGCTATAATGAAAACAAGGGGATGGTTAATATATAATTCAGTATAGTAGTGGCTAACTGGGTGTGATGATGGAGGAGACCACAGGGAACTTTTCCATTCCTTCAGCTGGGCAGCAAGTATGGGAATTCCTTTTATTATTTTTCTTTTAAACTGGACACATAGATTTTTATATCCTTTTTAATACGTATTTTACAATGAAAATGTTTTTAAAAATTATCTTTTGGGCCGGGTACAGTGGATCACGCCTGTAAGCCCAACACTTTGGGAGGCCAAGGTGGAGGGGTCACTACGTCAAGAGATCGAGACCATCCTGGCCGACATGGTGAAACCCTGTCTCTATTAAAAATACAGAAATTAGCCGGGCATGGTGGTGGGCGCCTGTAGTCCCAGCTACTCATGAGGCTGAGGCAGGAGAATCGCTTGAACCCAGGAGGCAGAGGTTGCAGTGAGCCAAGATCATGCCACTGCACTCCAGCCTGGCAACAGAGTGAGATTCCACTCAAAAAAAAAAAAAAAATTCTCTTTTGAGCCCTGCCACAATTTATATTCATAAACTCTTGCCCCAGTAGATGGTGCTGTGTCTTGGGAAGCTCTAAATGAAGGAGTGCCCTAGCTTATTGGGTTGCAGCTTGGAGTCCATGGAAGCTCGTATGTGAATCTCGAGGAAATCAATTTCAACTTTTACCCTCTCAATGGGATTTTGTATGAAACCATGCTCGAGTGTGTGTGTGTGTGTGTGTGTGTGTGTGTGTGTGGTGTCTTTAGACTGTAATATCTAAGATTAACTTGGGTGATCACTAAAACTCCAGAAGTGCTTTGCCACATTATAACCAGGCTTGAAGTCTTGAAGCCTCTACATCTTTTTTTTTTTGAGACGGAGTCTAGCTCTGTCACCCAGGCTGGAGTGCAGTGACATGATCTCAGCTCACTGCAAGCTCTACCTCCCGGGTTCACGCCATTCTCCTGCCTCAGCCTCCCTAGTAGCTGGGACTACAGGCACCCGCCACCAGGCCCGGCTAATTTTTTGTATTTTTAGTAGAGACGGGGTTTCACCGTGTTAACCAGGATGGTCTTGATCTCTTGACCTCGTGATCCGCCTGCCTCAGCCTCCTAAAATGCTGGGATTACAGGCGTGAGCCACCGTGCCCAGCCTGAAGCCTCTACACCTTCTATAAGAATCTCAAAAATTGTTAAAGACTGTGAAAGCCTGTAATCCCAGCACTTTGGGAGGCCAAGGCAGGCGGATCATGAGGTCAAGATTTTGAGACCATCCTGGCCAACACCCTGTCTCTACTAAAAATACAGTGACACCCTGTCTGACACCCCGTCTCTACTAAAAATACAGAAATTAGCTGGGCATGGTGGCACGCACCTGCAGTCCCAGCTACTCGGGAGGCTGGGGCAGGAGAATCACTTGAACCCGAGTGGCAGAGGTTGCAGTGAGCCAAGATGAGATCATGCCACTGCACTCCAGCCTGGGCAGCTGAGCAAGACTCTATCTCAAAAAAAAAAAAAAAAAAAAAAAAAAAAAAAGACCGTGAAAGGACTGGGTAGCTATCTAAGAAAAATATTAACAGCAACACTGGCAAGAAATTGCCATAGCCCCTGACTACCGTTCTTGGATTCTTCAGCTGTGTCCACCAATGTTGTAAACATGGAAGTATTTAGTCATTCCACAAATATTTATTGAGTACCTACAGAGTCCCAGGAACTCTGATGTCCCAGGTGTTGTGTTTGGAAAATTCAGGAAAATAGAGAGTGGTCTCTTTCCACCTGCTGCTCTATGCAGCATGGGAGACAGACAGGTAAACAGGACATTACAATAAAATGCAATGTAGAAACCCAGACACAGTGCTTTGGAAGCATAGAAAATGTATCTGTTAACTCTGCCAGAGGGGTTAGGAAGGGATTAAGAAGGAGATTTAAAGGATGACTAGGAGTTCCTAGGCAAATAGGAGGAGGAAACAGCCCATGCAAATAGCTCAGCAAGGCTATGGCCAGTAGTGTGGTTTGACTAAAGCTCACAATCTGTGAGAATGTGGGGAGAGAATCAGAACATAATCAGAGGCCTGATTATCAGGTGCCTGGCCAAGTTGAGGAGTTTGTACTTTATCCTACAAGGGAGATAAACTTTATCTCCCTTGCTTTATCCGACCAGGAGAAGCAATGAAAGACTTTAATCAGAGGAGTGACAGGATTAGGTTTGCATTTCAGAAGGATTTCTTTTTTTTCTTTACTTTCTTTTTTTTTTTTTTTTTGAGACGAAGTCTCACTCTGTTGCTCAGGCTGGAGTGCAGTGGTGCAATCTTGGCTCACTGCAACCTCCATCTCCTGGGTTCAAGCAATTCTCTTGCCTCAGCCTCCCGAGTAGCTGGGATTACAGGCATTCACTACCACACCCAGCTAATTTCTGTATTTTTAGTAGAGATGGGGTTTCACCATGTTGGCCAGGCTGGTCTTGAACTCCTGATCTCAAGTGATCCACCCACCTCATCCTCCCAAAGTGATGGGATTACAGGCGTGAGCTACCACACCAGGCTCAGAAGGATCTTTGACACAGATATAAAGGATGATGGGCTAGAGAAAGCGAGAGCGGAGGCTTAGAACTGCTTAGGGAGCTTTTCAAATAATTCAGGTGAAAGCTACTGAGGAGTTAATTGTGGGTAGCAGCAGGGCAGAGCTGTTTTCTCTATTTCTAGTTAGGACTTTGGCCCATCCTTCCAGAATTTCAGTGGCAGTGCTTTCAGGGTTCAGGTGAGTGAAGGCACTGTAAAGGTCCTGATGGAATTTGAGGCCAGCCTGGGCAACATAGTGAGACCCCGTCTCAATTTATATTAAAACATAAATTAATTAGAAAAATAAAAAATAAAGGTCCTGAGGGCCAGGCAAAATGCCTCAGATAAAGAAATCATCATGAACGGCACCAAGTGGTTCATTCATTCATTCATACATTTATGTGTTACTAATTCAGCCAGAGGTTTAAAGCACATCTTTTTCATTAGGAAGGTGAGCCTTAAAGGTGAATACTCAAGGGGCCTGAATACTTAAGGAGGGGAAGGGGATGCTATATGCTTTCACTTCAAGTCAGCGGGAAGAATGGCACACTCAAAGTGGGGAGGTCAGCCTGGCATGGTGGCACCTGTAGTCCCAGCTACTCCAGAGGCTGAGGCAGAGGGATCGCTTGAGCCCAGAGTGTCGAGGCTCCAGTGAACTATGACCTTGTTTCTTAAAAAAACAGCTGGGAGTTTATATTCTAGGGATAGGGTGACAAACGAACAACTTCCAAAATGCACAAGATGTATGGGGAACAATTAGTTTGGCTGGAATTTGCGTTGGGGGGAGATCAGAAGCTGTTGAGAAATAAGGCTATAGTTGGTGAAGATATCCGACTCGTAAAAAGGCAATGGGATTTAGAAATTCCTGGGATTCTGTTTCTTTGACTCGGGGTTAGGAAGACAGGGAAGTAACAAGTGCCTTTTTTTTTTTTTTTAATAGTTAAGGGACCTGAGACTGGGGGTGGGGGGCAATGTCATCTGCCCCAGGCCACACAAGTGTAAGATCAGGCATGCATGTCTGCCAAGGTTTCAGTTCAATGTCCGTGCCCCTCTTTTGCTCTCTTCCCAAGGTACAGAGGCGGAACGGCGCGGTGCCCTCGGGTCCCAAGAGAGAAGGGCGCCAAGCTCAGAGCCAGTTCTGTGGAAGGGTAGGGGAAGGCCTGACCCCGGGGGCAATGTGGTGGCGGGACAGTCGTATACACCTTCAGGAGAACCACCTCAGGCTGACAGGCAGTGCGGAGGGCCCCAAGAGCGCCTTAGGGTTGCCTGCTCCAGAGAGCGGGACTCCTGCGCTGCAGCCGGGATACTGGGCGCCGCCGTGCGCCCACCCCCTGCCAGTGGTTCGCTCCGAACACCCCTCGTCGGGCGGCGGGTACTGCGGCCCGCCCCACTTCCGGTTGTTGTCCGGCCCTATATCCGGTGTCCGCCCGCCCTCGGCTCCTCCGCCGTGATGCTGTCCCGATCCCGCTGTGTGTCTCGGGCGTTCAGCCGCTCGCTCTCCGCCTTCCAGAAGGTACGGTCTGGCCGAGCCGGGGCCCCGACGGGTGAGGAGTCTGTTGGCGGGCAGAGAGGCGGCCTGGAAGGCAGGGGCGCGGCGCGCCGGCCGGGCCGGGCACCAAGGGCACTGGGACGCGGAGGCCGCGCGGGCTGGGCGGCCCGGGGCCGTGGTTGCCCTCGGGACCGTTTTGCGGAGCCCAGCGGCCCCCTGCCTTCTCCAGGCAGCCTGCGGGGAACGTTTCCTGCTGTACCCCACCCTCCGCGCGGGAGCTGGGGAGCCGCGCCCGTCCAGATACTTGACTCAGAGTTAGGGAGGAGGCGCGGCGGAGTCCTCCGGCGGGATTCGGCGCCCGTCTCGTCTTGCTCTGTTAAAATCAGTGGGTATTAATGAGTCCCGTTGGGAAGTTGAGATAGTTTGGCAGGCCCAGCGTGTTGATTGGGTCTGCCAGCACGGTGTGTTGCATTTACCTTCGGAGTTACGAGATTCACCTGTCACCACCACTGGGACAGCTTTGAGCGTGTACTTAAAAGAAAAAGCTGGGTTTTTTTTTCATCTTGGGTGACGTCGATAATGTCTTCTTTCTCAACAGGGGAACTGCCCTCTAGGGAGACGTTCCCTGCCTGGTAAGTTCTGCCCTTACCGTCACCTAAAATGCTCTCCTCCTGGGCAGAGCAGTATGTGAGGAACTCGGGGGTGCCTGTGTTTCTCATAATATTTAAAGACAGTTTGGTTCAGAGAGTAGTGAGACGCAATGCTACATAATCACGAGCTATCGCTTATTCATTTAGCTCGTAGTTGAGTTTCTACTGTGTTAGGCACTGTGCTAGACGCTAGGGATACAGGAGTGGATACAGAAGTGTACAGTTCTTGCCCTCGTGGAGCTCCTAGGCTAGTTGGATAGTGTCAGTTGCTAAACAAGCCAACAAAGGCAAATTTTTGTAACTGCTGAGAAGGAAACGAGGGTGGACAGAAGAGCCCTTTTTGAGGAGGTGACTTAAAAGTTATGGCCATGGCCGGGCGCGGTGGCTGACGCCTGTAATCCCAGCACTCTGGGAGGCTGAGGCGGGCGGATCACGAGGTCAGGAGATCGAGACCATCCTGGTTAACACGGTGAAACCCCATCTCTACTAAAAAATACAAAAAATTAGCCGGGCGTGGTGGCAGGCGCCTGTAGTCCCAGCTCCTCGGGAGGCTGAGGCACGAGAATGGCGTGAAGCCGGGAGGCGGAGCTTGCAGTGAGCCGAGTTCGCGCCACTGCACTCCAGCCTGGGCGACAGAGCGAGACTCCATCTCAAAAAAAAAAAAAAAAAAAAGTTATGGCTAGCAGAATGTGACGGAGCTAACCCAGTGAAGCCCAGGAGAAAGAGAATGGCATTCACAAAGACCCTGAGGAAGAAAAGAGGTTGGCAGAACTTAAGAGCTGGAAAAAAGGTGATTTGGCCGGAGTATTTTGGTTAAGGGAGAGAGTGGCAAGAGATAGAAGATGGTATAGAGACTGAAGGAGTTTAGATTTTATCCTAGCAGTTAAAAAGAAAAAAGTGTCATCCATAGCTTTTTTTCTGTTATATGCCTAGCCTAAGTATTTGTTGAATGAGTTGACCTTGTTGTGGGCTTTCTTTGTGCCAAGCATTTATATGAGTGCTTTCTGTGAATTTTTTAGTTAATCATCTCAAAACAGTAAAAAGTATTTTCTCTATTTTACAAATGCATAACCCAAGACAAGAGAGCTTAAAAGCCTTGGCCATGGTCACCCACCCAGCTGTTGATAAGCCAGGTCTACCTGACCCATCCTGAACTCTTAACCCACCATGTTCTCATTTACTCATGGACTCAACAGATCATTTATTGAGTGCTTACTATATGCCAGCCACTGTTCTAGGTAACAGGGGTATAGATAGACTCTAGCCTCGAGATTTTATGGGCTAGCTGGAGAGAGAGAGCAAATATACATTTATGCTCCGACAAGGGCATAAATTTTGGTTACTACGAGAGAGGAATTAAAGGGTGTGATGAGAGGGTGGGATGATGTAGACCAGCTTGGGAAGGTTGGGAATGTCAGTAAAGGCTTCCCTGAAGAAGTGACATTTAACTGAGACCTGAATATAAAAGAGCCAAGAAAATGTATTCCAGGCAAAGGGAATTGCTTGTGCAAAGGTTTTCAGACAGGAAAGGACTTGACCAGTGATAGACATGGGAAGAAGCCTGTCTGGCAGGAAAGATAGAGTGGGCTGGACGGTACAGGATCGCGTAAAGTGTGGACTTTATCCTGAGAGTTATGAGAACATAAAGCCCCTAGCACAATGTCGGCTTGTAGTGGACTCTCAATAACAAACATGTTTTTCAAGTGGGAACCCTGAACAATGTCAGTAAACATTTTCTCCACTTCATAGGTGGGCAGGACAATGGAAAGAGCCTTGCACTTGGGGATTTGCATTTGGGCTCAGGGATTCACCTTGGGCTAGTCGCTTAACCTCCAAAAGTCCTACTTATATGAAATGGGAATAATGGCAGATGGTCGTTCCACTTCAGAGAGTTGTGAGACTGTAAAATCAAAATGAGGTCATTATGGGAAAGCTTTTTATAAACCCTAAAGCACTGTACAAATGAAATTTGCTGTAGGATGAACTCTGAATTGGACTCCAGGTTCCCAAAATCAGTGTGAGCCGCCATCTATTCTAGTTCAAAAACATACTATGCTTAGAATTTGCACTGCATAGTCATTGGCTGCTGGACATAAAGGTGACTGGCTTACCTATCTTGGGATGCTTGTGAGGAGGTGGGCATAAGAGAGGGCTAGCTCTCATTTGGTGTGTCCTGAGCCCATGGTTCAGAAAGAGTTGTTAATCTGAAAGAAAAAAGACATAAGAAAGAATTCAGAAGAGGCAGCTGTAGTTACTAGTCATCAGTTGGGGAAATGCAGTTAACTATGATAAGGACAGCTGGTGGGCAGAAAGGGTCTCTCACCTTGTTGAGAGTGACCAGGGTGGAAGACTTCAGAAAGGCATGGGAAGTCAATAAACTGAAAGATGGGGACATGATTTTCTCAGCTCTAGGACAAACTGGAGACCCCGAGCCTAAAGTAGCCAAGTCTTTGCTACTAGGATTCAGGTGATAAGATTTCCAACCCAATCTTTTCAAACCCAGACCAAACATCCTCCTTGCTTCTCAAATTGGGTTATGTATAGTCACAGGATAAGCCATCCCATGTCTTTCTCAAGCTTCAGTTGTATTTGAAGACTTGGCGAGTAGAGACATTTTATTATGAAAACATACAGGAATAATGAAAAGTTCTGGCTTTTTAAGGTAGATGAGATTATATAATCACTTTGGGCTGTGCCATCAAATTTTTTCTCTTTCCTCCCCAGCCAAACACATACCCACTCGATCTCACATACCCATTTGCTCTCTGCCACTAAGGCTACTTTGGAAAAGTTTGAGAAGCAGGACTCTATGATAAAGATTATATCCGTTGCCGTTGATCCTGCTCTGTCTCAGGGTTGGGGGTGAGCAGACCTTTTCCATTCCCAGCATGTATCCTTTGTGAGATAAGAGTTGTTGGTTAAGAGTTATTTTGTTTCTTGCAGGGGTCTCCTTATGCCAGGGACCAGGTTACCCTAACAGCAGGAAGGTTGTGTAAGTATCACTGGGGAGTACAGATATGTGGCCACGGGTTATTTATTTAAAGACATAAAGTTCTAAATTTGACCATCTGATTTCTTCACTGGCCTCCAGACCTAGAAATTGAGGTGATTATGTTGAGTCCCTAGACTAACCTCAATGTTCACTTTTCCCATGTGATGTTCCTTGAGCATCAGCTCCGTGTCAGGTTTTGGACTGGGAGTGTGCCCACTCTCCACAGGTGTTTGGATTATAATGAAAGTTAAGTTGGAATCCTCTTTTTATGGGATATAGAAGGGTGCTCCTAGATATTCTGTTTGGATGTAAGTGCAGCTGAAAGGCTCGAGGTTACATTTATTGTGGAGATTGAGAGCATCCTCTCAGTAGCATAGTTACTCATTTTTAAAAACAGTAAAAGCATAAAACTGGTTGAGTCCTGGGACTGACTGACTAGTTTGGAGGGAATGCTGTTATTGCATAATGCAGAGTTTGGAGAAAGGCTACCCATGTGTGTTTCAGATTAACTTCTGCGTATGAATGTTGCTTAAATGCTGCTTTGCATTCCAAGTGTTTTTGTGGTGGTGCTAAGAGAATGCTCTCTAGTAACCTGTTCAGCAGCTGTCAGGCTGCTTACTCTACAGGGAGAATCCTCAAAGTGAAGAGGTCAGCGGATGAGCTTCTTACTTACTCTACATCACAATGAGGGTTTTTGTTGTTGTTGTTTTGAGACAGGATCTTGCTCTGCCACTTTGGCTGGAGTGCGGTAGCCTGATCTTGGCTCACTGCATCCTCAGCCTCCTGGGCTCAAGAGATCCTTTCACCTCAGCCTCCTGAGTAGCTGAGACTACAGGCACATGCCACCATGCCCGGTTGTTTTTTGTATTTTTTGTAGAGATGGGGTTGTTTTGCCATGATACCTGGGCTGGTGTCAAACTCCTGGGCTCAAGCAATCCATCCACTTGCCTTAGCCTCCCAAAGTGGAGGATACAGGCGTGAGCTATGGTGCCTGGCTGATTTTTTAAAATTTGAGTAAATGTTGCACTCAGTACTAGAAATATGAATCCCGGTGTTATTTTGGAGGGCAGTTTGATAGTCATAAGTCTTTGAAGTGTGTGTACCTTTTCTTTTTTTCTTTTTTTCAAGATGGAGTCTTGCTCTGTCACCCAGGCTGGAGTGCAGTGGCGCGATCTCGGCTCACTGCAGCCTCTGCCTCTCGGGTTCCAGCAATTCTCCTGCCTCAGCCTCCTGGGTAGCTGGGATTACAGGCGCACGCTACCACACCTGGCTGATTTTTGTATTAGTAGAGACGGGGTTTCATCTTGTTGGCCAGGCTGGTCTCTGAAACTCCTGACATCAGGTGATCCGCCCGACTCAGCCTCCCAAAGTGCTGGGATTACAAGCATGAGCCACTGCCCGGCCTGTGTGTTCCTTTTCATCTAGCAATTCCATCTCTAGGAATCTATACTGAAGAACTCCTGGTATATTTATCTCAGATTTAATATCTGATAATATAAATATTATCAGATTTATCTTAAAATGGCAAAGAGCAAGGGATTGGCTAAACTATAGCATGTTCACATGTTCACACTATGAAAAGTGGGAAAAAGCAGGTTACAAAATAATTTCATTTTCTACTGTGTGGTATGATCCCATTGTAAGTATTCTTTTTGCTATTTCTAATATTCTGTAGTGAACATCTAGTTATTTAGAGATTCAAAATGTATTACTCATCTGCAATCAAATGAAAATTGGGGCAATCATGACTCTCTACAATAAATACACTAAATATTTGAAAGTAAATAATGAAGAAAAAGTAAACTTTGTGTGGGATCACCCCAATCATGTCACCCTAATCCAGTATCTTTGTGTGTGTTGTGCCTTTTTTGTGAATAAGGTACCCACTTTATTTAATAAATCTTTTATTGTAAAACAATTTTTGGTTTTATGTTTTTACTAATAGTATTATATTTACATGATTAAAAATTCAAAAAGTAAAAAGGGTGTCCATGAGAAGACTTTTTTATCCTTGTCCTCTAGCCCCCCGAATGCCTCTTGGGTAGTGGTGGCCACCACTCCGGGTTCCTGGATGACTTGCAGAGCAGCCTCTGCACTTGCATGTTACCTGTTAGTTCTTGCCTATAGGCATGTACTTTACAAGGTTACAAACTATATGTAGAACAATTTGTATTCTTGTAGTTTTTAAATATCTTCATTTTTTCTTGGTTATACATAGACCTTATAGTTATTTTGACATTATAAAAGTAAAAATACCTAAAGACAACTTAAATCTCTTTTACTTTTCTATTATAAAAATGCTTGTTGTGGAATATTCAGACAATCCTGAAGTGTAAAAAGTGAAAGTCCCCATCCAAATCATTCTCCCAAATTGTGTAAGTGTGCAACACATAACCAGAGATACCATATATGTCTACATCTCTCACCCCTCAGAGGTAACCACTGTTAATGGCTTTGTGCATACAGGGTGAGCTGATTCTCCAGTTTATATTATTTACTGTAAAGGCCATATCAGTAAACGCCTTGGTCTTTGAGGTTCGTTTTGAATGAATCCAGAATGTGTTGATGTGCTGTTTTCTAGCAAGAGAACCGAGTAGGAGATACCATATGGGGTTTGTGTGTGGTTTTTTTGTTTTTGGGTTTTTTTTTTTTTTTTTTGGCATAACACCTTGTTTTACTTCCGAGTTAACCTTGTTAATCTTGCTGCCTTATCTGATCTAAATCTGTTATCTTGAGGGCAGAAATTCCATTATACCTTGCACAATGGCTTGTACCCTGGGCAGGCCGTAAATCTATCTCGGATTTAGTTAAGGAAGAGACCTGGCTGGACATGGTGACTCACTCCTGTAATCCCAGCACTTTGGGTAGGATCTTTGAGACCCGTCTGGGCAATGAAATCCATAGTCTACAAAAAGTAATTTAAAAAAATTATCTGGGTGGCATGTGCCTGTAGTCCCAGCTACCCGGGAGGCAGAGGTGGGAGGATCCCTTAAATCCAGGAGTTTGAGGTTACAGTGAACTATTATCATGCTACTGCACTCTAGCCTGGGTGACAGAGCAAGACTCTTATCTCTTAAAAAACAAAAAACCAAATCAAGAAGCTAAGTCATTTCGGTCTGCAAAGGACCAAGGTGCTTATTTTTTTATTGAAAGAGCCAAATGTAAGTCTGTTTTGTGAGAGTTGGCATTGCATTGCAGCACAGGGGCCTGAGCATACTTGGGGAGCTCACCATTTAAGGTACCTGGGTCGTTAGGCTCTACTCCAGACCTGCTGAGTCAGAATCCCTGGGGGAGAGGCCTAGACAAGTGAACTTTGAAAAAGTTCCTCCCCAAGTGACACTGATGGACACCCCTGGTCAAGAGTCACTGTTTAAGGGGAAGGTGACCCATGGGGCCTTAACTAGACTAAAATGTGAGTGGTTCGCCTGTTAAAAGGAGTTAACGTGTGTTTCTTTTGTAGCATTAACAACAGTGTCTTCAGTGTTCGCTTTTTCAGAACTACAGCTGTATGCAGTAAGTACCTGCTTTCTTGGGAATGGAATTTTATGGGAAGAGCAACAATTGATTGAGTTTAATTAAAGAAAAATATTAAAAAGGAAAAATGAACTACTTATGATTTTCTTTTTTGCATTTTTCCTAGAGGATGACTTGGTTACAGTCAAAACCCCAGCGTTTGCAGAATCTGTCACAGAGGGAGATGTCAGGTGGGAGAAAGGTAAGATTTAGTTTCCTATTTTTTTTTTTTTTTTTTTTGAGACAGAGTCTTGCTCTGTTCCCAGCCTGGAGTGCAGTGGTATGATCTCGGCTCACTGCAGCCTCTGCCTCCCAGGTTCAAGTGATTCTCCTGCCTCAGCCTCCCGAATAGCTGGGATTACAGGTGCCCACCACCATGCCTGGCTAAGTTTTTTGTATTTTTAGTAGAGACAGGGTTTCACCATGTTGGTCAGGCTGGTCTCAAACTCCTGACCTCAGGTGATCTGCCCACCTCAGCCTGCCACAAAGTGTTGGGATTACAGGCCTGAGCCACTGCGTGAGCCACTGCGCCTGGCTCCTCTCACTTCTTAAGTTTAAGTGCTATCTAAAATTCTCCCCTCCCCTCAGGATAGTTGTAGAATTTATAGCTCTGCCGTTTTCTTTACATATGTACTTTCTGCTGGCCCTGTAGGAAAGGGTTCTTATAACATACCTGCCAAAATGGGTTTTGTGGCTACTGGAGGCTCCCCGCTAACAGGTAGCCTTGTAGCCTTTGATTGTCTTTTCAGCTGTTGGAGACACAGTTGCAGAAGATGAAGTGGTTTGTGAGATTGAAACTGACAAGGTAGGCTTATCTTATATTCGTACCAGCTTTTCATGGGCTTCCCTTAGTTAACCTAATGAAAGAAACAGGGACTTAACCATTGTTTAGAGATAATTTTTAACTAGCTCTAACTTCAGTTGTAAAATTATTGGATTTGTTCAATTTAAAAAAAAAACAACTTTTTACATTTAACTTTTTTTTTTTTTTTTTTTTTTTGAGACAGACTTGCTCTGTTGCCCAGGCTGGAGTGCAATGGCCTGATCTCAGCTCACTGCAACCTCCACCTCCTGGGTTCAAGCGATTCTCCTGCCTCAGCCTCCCTAGTATCTGGGCTTACAGGCGCATGCCACAACGCCGGGCTAATTTTTGTATTTTTTGTAGAGACAGGTGTTGCCAGGCTGGTCTCAAACTCTTGACCTCAGGTGATCTGCCCGCCTTGGCCTCCCAAAGTGTTGGGATTAGAGGCATGAGCCACCGCACCTGACCTGCATTTAACTTTAAATTGTTTGCTGTGTGTGTACTATGTACTTCATTTAGTAGCTTTAGTCTTGTAGTGTGTGGTGAGGGGGTGGGGAGGGTAAATAAGCTGTTTCCACTTTTTCCTGTATCACTTGGAAACATATTAACTGAATATTGCCTGAATGTTTCTGAGAAAGGACAGAAAGTGAATCTTCACAGTAGCGATGACTTGTTATCACCCTTGCTCTGAAATTATGGCCTTAGATGTTTGTGTGCAAGGCCTTATATATTGTGTTGCAACTCTTGTTACTCACTGGAGATACGCTGTTGTTGTTGTTGTTTTGAGACGTTTCGCTCTATCACCCAGGCTGGAGTGCAGTGGCACGATATCGGCTCCACCTGCCAGGTTCAAGCGATTCTCGTGCCTCAGCCTCCCAAGTAGCTGGGATTACATTTTTGTAGTTTTTAGTAGAGATGGGGTTTCACCATGTTGGCCAGGCTGGTCTTGAACTCCTGACCTCAAGTGATCCGCCTGCCTTGGCATCCCAATATGCTGGGACTACAGGCATGAGCCACTGTGCCTGGCTTCATTGGAGATTCTATACAGCTAATTTTCTAATGCTGGATAAACATTTGGACTTCCTCCATCTGTCTTCCTCTTCCAGACATCTGTGCAGGTTCCATCACCAGCAAATGGCGTGATTGAAGCTCTTTTGGTACCTGATGGGGGAAAAGTCGAAGGAGGCACTCCACTTTTCACACTCAGGAAAACTGGTGGTAAAGAAGTTCTCCTGGTGGTCAAGGTCTCCAGTGTTCCCTCTTGGGATTGGGACTGAGCATAATGTGCTAATTCCCCGATATGTCAAAGACTCTTGTCATTCCAGCTGCCCTTAGTTGAGGGAATAAGGGGTAAATTTATATATAGTGTGAACTTCAAATGTCAAATTCTAAAAGAAAAGTGTATTTTTTAAAAAATAAACCTTATACTCTGTTCTTTCCATGGGTGTTTCTTAGCAGGAGCTGAGAAACTGGACCTTTTCTTATAGATATACAGATTGAGCATACCTAATCTGAAAATTCAAAATCTGAAATGCTCCAAAACTGAAAATCCAAAATCTGAAATGCTTCAAAACTTTTTGAGCACTGACAGAATGCTCAAAGGAAATGCTCATTGTCTTTTATGGGGAATTCAGTGTTGTTTCTTTTCACATCTGTTCTCTCATATCTCTAGGAAGGGTTGGTATTTCTTTTGGGAAGAAATGAGAAACGAATTTGTACTGGACCTGATAGGATTAGAGATTAATAACTTTATCTGACTCTTAGTTAAATTTTATAACCACTAAAAAGTCTATTTCTTTTTCCTAAGCGAGAATCGTACCCGTAGACCAACGAGTCACAGAAGTCTATTTCTTTTTCACTGTTACACTAATAAGGCAGATAGACCGCATGATTGAGGTTAGTCAGGCAAGACCAGAAGCTCAGAGTAGAAAACATGTATGGTAGAAGGCTGGGAAATAAGGTAGTCCTCCTGTTGCAGAAGTTTGTCTTAGCACTAACCCTGGATATAATGTCCAGATGGGTGAAAAACAGAAACAAACATTTCATTTAAAGTTGTGAGATTATTACTTGGCCACTTCAGTGATTTATGAGTCATCCTGGATGAAGTGCTTTCTTAAGCCTAAGTCAACCCTCGATGACTATTTTATTTTTTGAGATGGAGTTTCACTCTGTCGCCAGGCTGGAGTGCAGTGGCCTGATCTTGATTCACTACAACCTCCGCCTCCGGAGTTCAAGTGATTCTCCTGCCTCAGCCTGCCGAGTAGCTGGGACTATGGGCACATGCCACCACGCCCAGCTAATTTTTGTATTTTTGGTAGGGACGGGCTTTCACCATGTTGGCCAGGATGGTTTTGATCTGTTGACCTTGTGATCCGCCTGCCTTGGCCTCCCAAGGGGAGTAATCCCTTGGCCTGTAATCCTGGGATTACAGGCGTGAGCAACTGCACCCAGCCTATTTTTTAATAGTATTCTTGCATATATAATGTTAAAATAGAGGATGAAGAGTATCAGTAATTAGAAATATGTTTATGTATGCATTTCAATATTTTAAATTGCCTAGGTGTTTTTTTTTTTCCTTGGAAGTTTACATTTTCTTGGGCTTGATAGGTGCTTTGAAAGTACTTGCTGAATTTATTCAGTGGAAACCTGTGAAATTGGGAAGGGAGCTAAGTTGAGCCAGTTATCTGATGGACATTTAGGGACCCTGAGGACTAGAGAATAGTGCCTTATGTCATTGTGTGTGTGTCTCATAGTGCTTTGCATATTGCTGATACCCAGTAGACATTCGTTACTTGATTGGAGCTAGAGTTTTTGCCACTAAATTTTGCTTGGTTGCTTCTCATTTCAGACAGTGCCAGTGGCATATACTTTTCTTGTTTTTCAGCTGCTCCTGCTAAGGCCAAGCCGGCTGAAGCTCCTGCTGCTGCAGCCCCAAAAGCAGAACCTACAGCAGCGGCAGTTCCTCCCCCTGCAGCACCCATACCCACTCAGATGCCACCGGTGCCCTCGCCCTCACAGCCTCCTTCTGGCAAACCTGGTAGGCTTCCAACTCCCACATGTCATGTGGGAGAACATCTCGTCTAATATGTTCCTTCAAAGGGTAAACTCTAGACTGATGATGGTTCTGAACAGGCCAGGTTGGCTGCTTTGTAGAAAGAATTCTAGACTTTGTATCCAAAGGCCTGCTTTGCATCTCAGCTTTCTGTTACTAGCTGTGTGTCTTTAGGCTAGTCACTTAATTTATCTGAACAGATTGTTCATCTGTGAAGTTGGAGTGATACTAATATACCTCAGAATATCTTGAAGATTAAGTAACAGTACATATGAAAGCACTGGCACAAACTCAGCAGATGTTTCTTTCCTTGTCTGATGCAGCTTTATCCTCTTTTCATTTTCAGTGTCTGCAGTAAAACCCACTGTTGCCCCACCACTAGCTGAGCCAGGAGCTGGCAAAGGTCTGCGTTCAGAACATCGGGTAAGCCTCTGAGGACCACTTTCAGGAAAGAGGCAGGGGGCAGTGTTGAGATTAGTGGAGTATGGGTGTGGTGATGCCTACCTTTGAATGCCTGGCAGCTCATTCCCTCAACCTTGATAAAGGGAGTTTAGGATATAACTTCTTCATAGTCACATAACCATCAAATGATAGGACTAGAACCTGAGGTCTTCTGAACACTTGTTCAGTGGTTTTCCTACTATATTATGCTACCAGTGAAAGCCTTGGGTAAGTTAAATATTTGTAGGGGTGGTAGCTTAGTAACTCACCCCCGTCCTCCCACGATGTCACACGCTTCAGAGAGGTGGTTTAGTGAGCTCTATTCCTATACTTCTGGGATACTTAGCTGTAGCTAAGGGATAATACTCAGTAGCAATAGCTGTCAGGTGCAGACATAAAGCCTCAAGGAAGTATGGTCAGGATTGTGGTTCCTCTGCCTGAGAATACTTCCTAAAAATATGATAGCCTCGAAAGTTTGTTGCTCATGAGGTTCTGTTCCACAAATAGCTATTCTTATGCAAATCTTTATCAACAGAAAGTGCCCTTTTTCTTATGATTCTTATGTTGGCTAGACTACACTACACTACATTCTTTTATAAATGGGTTTTGGTTTTTAAATCACTGTTTCTGAGCCTTCATTCTTGGTCAAGCTTTAGGCACATCTGAGTGAGTAGTTTTGGCCTGTGTTTGCATGTTTTTGCTTGGAGGAGAAAGGGCCACCACAGGAAAGGGAAGCCTGGAGCTCGTGTACTTAGATACTGTAGTCCTTGGCCATCTACTCGTGGCAAGCCGTGTTCTTTCTGACTACACGGGGAATGCTTGACCCAGAGAGATCAGATTGTCAATGCTTGTTCCACTCTTACTTTCAGGAGAAAATGAACAGGATGCGGCAGCGCATTGCTCAGCGTCTGAAGGAGGCCCAGAATACATGTGCAATGCTGACAACTTTTAATGAGATTGACATGAGGTAGTGTCTCTAGTCCCTCTTATCCCCTAGGCCCCTTTTTCTTAGAGAACACGAACTTGCCCCACTCCTTATCTAGTGCTGATTCTAAAACTAACTTGTCAGGGAAGAGGTATTTGTTTATTGTTTTTTGTTTGTTTGTTTTTGTTTTTGTTTTTTGAGATGGAGTCTCGCTGTCTCCCAGGCTGGAGTGCAGTGGCATGATCTCGGCTCACTGCAAGCTCCGCCTCCCGGGTTCACGCCATTCTCCTGCCTCAGCCTCCAGAGTAGCTGGGAATACAGGCGCCCCCCACCACGCCTGGCTAATTTTTTGTATTTTTTTAGTGGAGACGGGGTTTCACCGTGTTAGCCAGGATGGTCTCGATCTCCTGACCTCGTGATCTGCCCTTCTCGGCCTCCCAAAGTGCTGGGATTACAGGCGTGAGCCACCGCGCCTGGCCTGTTTATTGTTAACTTTCACAGAGTGAGCCGCTGGCTTCTTCTCTAATTGGCTTTCCTAATACTATGCCTGCCTCCTCCATGACCTTAACCTTAGCCTTGGCTAGGTGTAGTGGCTCACACCTGTAATCCTGGCACTTTGGGAGGCCGAGGCAGGCGGATTGCTTGAGTCCAGGAGTTCAAGACCAGCTGGGTAACAAGGCGAAACCCCACCTCTACAAAAAATACAAAAATTAGCCAGGTGTGGTGGTGCACATCTGTAGCCCCAGCTACTTGGGGGGCTGAGATGGGAGGATTGTTTGACCCCGTCACTTACATATTTTCCTAAGTGATTCAGAATCGAGTGGATGAAAAGGCAAAGATAGGCTGGGCTTGTCTTTCATTTTACCCAGCTCTGACAGTGAAATGGAAAACAAGTTGTGTTTTTAAATAACCTTAGAATGTTAACCAAAGGTACTAATTCACTAGGTATGCCCATTTCTGTAGTGAGCTAATTGTTGACTTACCTGTTTTCTTCAAGATTTCAATGTGTTCAAGTATCAGCACTGTCAGGAAGAGAAATTTGACAAACGTGTTTTGAGTGCGTACTGTATACAGAGTACTGTACTGTGGAATTCAGTGGGGATAGACGCTGGGCACCATGGCTCGTGCCTATAATCCCAGAGCTTTGGGAGGGTGAGGAAGGAGGATCGCTTGAGCTTAGGAGTTGGAAACCAGCCTGGGCAACATAGCAAGACTGTCTCTACATAAAATTTAAAAATTAGCCAAGTGAGGGCTGGGTGCGGTGGCTTGCGCTTGTAATCGCAACACTTTGGGAGGCTGAGGTGGGTGGATCACATGAGGCCAGGAGTTCGAGACCAGCCTGGCCAACGTGGTGAAACTCTGCCTCTACTAAAAATACAAAAATTACCCAGGCATGGTGGCGTATGCCTGTAATCCCAGCTACTCGGAAGGCTGAGGCACAAGAATTGCTTGAACCCAGGAGGAGGTTGCAGTGGCTGATATCGCGCCACTGCACTCCAGCCTGGGCAACAGAGCGAGATTGTGTCTCAAAAAAAAAATTATGTATGGTGGCATGGACCTATAGTCTCAGCTACTTGGGAGGCTCAAGTGATCTTCCTGCCTCAGCCTCCCAAATGGCTGGGACCACTACAGGCATGTGCCACCAGGCTTGGCCAATTTTTTTAGTTTTTGTAGAGACAAGGTCTCGCTGTGTTGCCTAGGCTGGTCTCCTGAACGTCTAGGGTCAAGCCATCCTCCTGCTTTGGTCTCCCACTGGGATTACAGGCATGAGCCACCATTCCTGGCCAAAAAAGAATTTTTAAACAGGTCTTCAAGAGTGACTAGCATTTTGTCAGCCTTGTGGAGAAAGGTCATTCCAGATGATGTTAACAGTGTAGACCATGAGATGGGAAAGTAGAAGACACATTTGAGAAATTGTCAAAAATCATTTCTGTTGTGAGGATTTTGTATAGCAAAGAATGGTAAAGAAGGTTGGATCCTTATTTCAGAATGTTTTGAATGCCAGGGTAGGAGTTTATATTTAATTCAGGAAGCAAGTCAAGTCTCAGGTCATCTCTTTCTTTCTTTTTGTCCTGAGGGTTTAGTCTGCGAATCTACTTTTCATTAGAGAAATTTGCTTTTCTTTGGAAAGGGTTTGAAAAATAGGGAGAAGGGAGTGTTTTCTTGATAGTGCGCTGTGGCATTGTTCAGAGTAGGGCTCTGTGACCTGTTTTACTAGATGTCATCCATTCTGTTGGGAAACTTTCCGAAGAGACTGGATGACATTCAAGCCAAAGATTTCTCTCTTGTTCATAGGATGTAGGGGAAGGACCTTGACTAATGAATCACAAAGGCTGCAGCTTATGTTTCAGTGCATTAGGGCCAAATTGTACACAAATTGAATTGGACTTTGAAATTCTACCCAGTTTCTTAAGACAAAACATGTAAATATTTGTGGCCCTGAAAGATGCAGTTGGCCCAACAGCTTTGATTGGAAAGGAAGCGTAATAGCTGGATCTCCTTTCAGCAGCTAATCAAGGTGTCACTTAACAATGGCCTGCGGTCTTGCTGCAGCCTAATTTGGTTTAGATCGAGTGCCCTTTGGGTCTTGTGCTGATCAGCTAACCCATAAGGGACCTTTCTGAGACCTTCTCCCTTCCTCTATTGTCCCAGCCTTTGCCTCCAAGGGCAGAGCTCTGAAATAGAAGCTACTTAATGACCAGACAATAACATTTGGGCAGGTTTGAGAGCAGAGATGTTTATCACATCTCTTTCCCTCTTCTGCAGCTCTTGTGTCTTGGGAACCAGTAATGTCTTTAGGGTGGTAATCCTAGCACTAAATAAGGTTAGAATCAGGAAAACAAGCATTTTAAACCCAATCAGTCCCCCTTGGAAAAACTTCCTTTTTCAAAAACAAAAGATCTGAAGGGGGCTGTTAAAATTGTACCACATCTTACCTTTCATGCTAATGTCGAATTAGGCCATTAGAGGGAGAAAGGGAGAACTGAGCATTTGGCCCTGAGATAAAGTTAAATTCAATTTTCATCGTAGAACTGCATTACTGCATTCCGATAAATACTGAGGTTTATGCAGCAAAGTGATGGGAAAGCCATTTCTCACTAACTCTGCAATGTGTCATTGAAAAAAAACCAGTCCCAAAAGAATAAAGGCTGCTCATGTTGTAAAGGCTTTTCAGAAGGCTTGCTGCTTAATCTGAAGGGAACCAGCCTAAACCACAAGTGGCCACTTTTCTAAATACCAAGGAAATCACAGCCATTAAACTAATCTTAGGGCAAGAACTATGTCTTAATTAGCTTTGTATCTTGGTACCTGGCCCTGACCCTCACATGTAGTAAGGTGTTAGTACCTGTTTGGAAGAATAAGTGGATGGAACTGCCAACCCTGGAAAGATGAAGAACGGATATGACTTTCCGTGGGCCTGAAAGAACACTGGGTTATACCCTTCCCTGCAGAGTCATGACTGCTTTTTCCCGCATGGAGCCTCATGTACCCATGAGCTGTTTATTTTAGTCTCCACTAATCAAGAGATAGGAGGAATATCACACGGGAGTTATACTCAGATTTGGTGGGGTTTTTTTTTTTTTTTTGTATTCTAACAAGAAATAAAAAGAATATTGCTTATTTTGTAGATTTTGTTTATACTTTAAAAAATTTTTTTTCAGGATGGATAGCTCAGTTATTCAGGGCAAGGATGTTGGTGTGCTGTGTGATCTCTTGTTCATATGATGTGTCACTGAAATCTGTGACTTCTAGACCATGAAGGAGCCCTGTAAAGAGATCAACCCACCTTAAAGACAGATTGGGCCTGATTCCTGTAGATTTCTTTGTAAAAGAACAGAGTTACTGTGTTAACCTCAGGTAGACTATTTCAAAACTTGAACTAAGGTAATGGTCCAGAGTGAGGGAAAAGCTCTCACCTAATTGTGTATATGGATTGAGAAACCTGTGTGAAAGTCAAAATGCAGGCTTTGTGGTCAGTTTGTTTTGTAATATTTTCACAGTAACATCCAGGAGATGAGGGCTCGGCACAAAGAGGCTTTTTTGAAGAAACATAACCTCAAACTAGGCTTCATGTCGGCATTTGTGAAGGCCTCAGCCTTTGCCTTGCAGGAACAGCCTGTTGTAAATGCAGGTGAGTTGCTTGTGGCTGGAATTGGAGAGGTCCTGGGAGGTAGGTGTATGAGCACAGACCTGCTCCCACATGCAGAGGATCAACAGACCAAGGCTTTTTATTTGCTACCTATAGAAATATCAGTATCTTCCCCAGGGATTTCTTGGTTCACCTTCCTGAAGCAGCATCATGATTACTTTCTACCCGCCAGCTGGGCAGAACAGTTTCTCTTCCCAGTGTACAGCTCGGCAGCTGCTCAGGCAGCAGGCAGTTCTGGGATAGCCCAGCTCTCCAGGCTGTCTCCTGTCAAGGTGGAAGCACGTGTTCTGGCTTCCTCCCCTCCCCCAGCTCCACAGGCCCTGTTACCTTGGGGCCTGACTTCCACAGTTGGTGTAGGCTCCTGGCTGACCTTTGATCTTAGGTCGATGGGCCTCACTGGGAGCTTCGGCTTGGCCTCTCATGGACCTGGTGCTTATTTTCTTTCCTTTTTACTTACCTACGTCATTGTAGTGTTGACCTAACAAGCACTTTGTTTTCCTGTTGACACACTTCTCTGTTCCTTGGGAGATTGGAGAGGGGTCAGTGCTACTTTTGCCATCCTCAGCAGTGTCAGGGGCCCTAAAGGTCTAGAAGTAGAAGCCCTAGTCCCTCCTGTTGAGTGGTGCTCTAGGGAGGTAGAAGGCCATCTTTGTTTTGCCCAAATGTATACCTCTTCTTTTTCCCATTCTTCTCATGCCTCCCTGACTGGCTCTCATCTTTTTCAGTGGCCCCCTTCTGCTTGCCCACACATGTAGGCGGCTCTCAAAAGTTCTCGTGGCCTCTTTTTCACATTACATGCTTCCTCTGGATGTCTTATCTAACAATACAACATGGACTTTCTGCGGAAATGATTCCCAAGCCTTTATTTTCCCATTAGTTGCTAGGTGTACATTTTCAGATGCTGGTTTGCCATCTCTTGAGGTAGCATATTTCAAAGCCAGATCACCCCGCTTACTCTTGGATCTCCCCTCTTCCTCTTGTTGAGAGTTGGAAGCAGAGAATGGGTAGTATCTCTATATCCCTTTTCCTTTGCTAATTTGCCCTTTTTTGGAACATTTGTTAACCCTAGTCATTCTCTGCTAAAGGAGGGCTTGACTAGAGCTACTTAACGAGAGTTTAGTGCATACCTATCCTATGGAAGCCAGTGTGTTGAGCCCTTCTTAGGGCTGCCAAAGAAATGGATGCTCCTATGCCCAGGCTCAGTCAGGGACTTGGGAGATACTATACTTGGGATGGGAGTAAGTGGAATGCCAGCTGCCATGCATAATGCAGTGGTGTTCATGGTGGTTGGTCAGCCCACACTGTATCAAGCTCTGCAGATTTTTACTCTGTTAATGCACATATTACCTCATTAGTCTTGGCCTTCCTGGGGAGTTGTATGTAACATGTATTTTCTCTCTCATAGTGATTGACGACACAACCAAAGAGGTGGTGTATAGGGATTATATTGACATCAGTGTTGCAGTGGCCACCCCACGGGTATGTTGGGGCAGGAGGTGGGGAATGTTGGTCTTAGACCCTCACCTTATCTGTGTGAAGGAGATCACACAAGAGAAATCATTTCTTTAATTCTGTATTTTTAGAAGGGAGTTAGTAAAAGTAACCTTTTTTTTCTTTTAAACCATGCCGCATTCTTTTAACACTTTCTGTTAATCACACTGAGTAATGAAGGTATTCTAGGGAGGGCATACCATGGGTTGAATCAAGGGAGTTGTTAACTATAAAAGGTACTATTAATTTGCAACTGAAAACAGCTTTTCACCCCCTTCAGGGTCTGGTGGTTCCAGTCATCAGGAATGTGGAAGCTATGAATTTTGCAGATATTGAACGGACCATCACTGAACTGGGAGAGAAGGTAAAGTAGAAAGATGTATACAAGCTGCTAAGCAGGCGAGGGAAGAGAGCCTTCAGAAGGCTGGGCTCACTAGCAAGCAGTGCTCATGGAAAGTCAAGTGCATAGCCCCTGAGAAAAGCAGTTGCCCATGAGAGCTAAGTATTTTATATATCTGGTGGAGTTTACCATGCTCTGGTAACTGAAATCTCATCAGATGAGACCTGCTAGAAAAGATCATCTTTGAAGTCTTCAACTGTATGAAATTGTGCCTTTTCTCTGGTGGAGCACTGGTCATAGACACCTTAGCCGAACAACTGTCACACGGAAGCTAGCGCTTGTGCCATCGATCTCGATACAAGCTTTCTGGACTTCCTTTGCTTTTTTGTTTTTAGAGGCAGGGTCTCGCTGTGTTGCCCAGGCTGGAGTAGAGTGGTAGAGTCATAGCTTACTGCAGCCTTGCACTCCTGGGCTCAAGCGATTCTCCTGCCTCAGCCTCCCAAGTAGCTGGGACTACAGGTGTGCACCACCATGCCTGGCTAATTCTTAAGTTTTTTATACAGATGGGGGTCTCACTATGTTGCCCAGGTTGGCCTTGAACTCCTGGCCTCAAGCAGTCCTCCTGCCTCGGCCTCCCAAAGCGCTGGGATTATGGACTGACTTTAGGTGAAGGAAACTGGGTTGGCTTGATATTTCAATTATGAAATCTGTTTTTAGGCCCGAAAGAATGAACTTGCCATTGAAGATATGGATGGCGGTACCTTCACCATTAGCAATGGAGGCGTTTTTGGCTCGCTCTTTGGAACACCCATTATCAACCCCCCTCAGTCTGCCATCCTGGGGATGCATGGCATCTTTGACAGGCCAGTGGCTATAGGAGGCAAGGTAGGAACCGTCACTTCTAAGGTCCTAGTGGCTAGGTCTCGATGAAAGGGAAATCCAACTAAATGCTAATTGTAAAACATTAACTATAATTTCAGGCCTAAGTTCCATTTCTTAGTTTCTAATAGCTAAGGCACTGATTATCAAATTGTGGTCTGGATCAGCATCATCTGGGACCTTATTAGAAATGCATATTCTTAGACCCCATCCCAGACTTAAAGAAGAAGTGCAGATGATCCTGATGCATATTCAAGTTTGAGAACCACTGAGCTGAGGAGGCTTGTTTGCTTCTATGGAGTGGGGGATATAGTTGGAAACGTGGTCCCTTGCCCCTGGGAAACAGATGACAATTATGCATGTCAGTCTGTGAGCTGCCAAGTTGTATGATAAAGCTTGTAAATTTCCCGGGAGTTCAGAGAATTAAGTATTAAAAGGGGCTTGAGCTGGCCCTTAGAAGATACGTTGGTATCAAAAAAGCTTTCTGGGAACTCCTGTGTTTAGAATCCTTTTGGGTTACTGACTCCTGTGTGAAACCACAGTCTGTAGATCTTCCTGGAAAATGCCCATACACCCAGCTACACATACAATTCCAGAATTTGTAGACCCTGGCTTAATTTTTTTTTTTTTTTTTAAATTCTAACCCCAGAGAGAAGCAAGTACAGGCAGCCAGAACTGAAGGGAAAACTTTCCTTGTAGGCAGCAGATGCGTTAGAGGGCAGAGTATGTTTTTAAAAAATAAAAGGCAGTTGTGAGAAGACAGTTTTCTTGGCAAACTTTGTTTCTGAGTGGGGAAGCTTTGCACTGAGGGTAAGTCCTGGTCTTTGAAATACTGTAAATATGCAGAGGCAACATCAATAGGAAAGGCTCTGGAATTAGGAACTTTCTTATGGGCTGTGCTAAATCTCCTTCAGCGAGGCTGGCTGTGGCTTGCTGGAGACAAACCTATTTACCTTTCCTCTCTGTAGGTAGAGGTGCGGCCCATGATGTACGTGGCACTGACCTATGATCACCGGCTGATTGATGGCAGAGAGGCTGTGACTTTCCTCCGCAAAATCAAGGCAGCGGTAGAGGATCCCAGAGTCCTCCTCCTGGATCTTTAGGAGGAACCCACACACCCTACAAGTTGATCATGCAGGAACTGAAAACCAGTCTTCTCCCTGTCCCCTCATGGGTCCCGGGTTAGCCTGGTGACAGGCAGACACATGCTGTTGGCCTCAAGCAAGGAAGCAGAGCACTGTGTAACCAGCAGTCACAGGTCTTTTCTTGGCGTTCCTGCCAGGCTCTCCCTCTCTGCACCTGTCTCATAGCCTCGAATATCTTAATTCCTTAGGCTTAAGAGAGAGAGCCTTAATGGATGCTCATTCATATTCCTGCCTTTCTTCCATCAGCTCTCTGCAAAGATGATTTTGCTTTTCCCTAGTGCTGGTATACTATAGAGAAACCCCTGGGGACCATGTGATTAAGTTCCTATCTTTTGAAAGTTTGTTCTGCAGAGACTTCTAGGAGGATGCTGTGCCTCCCAAGCTCAGAGCAGCCTCTGTCCTGGCTGTGCACATTCTCCCTTGATTCCACTTGTGTGGAGGGATTGAACACAGGCAAAGAGGTGCTGCTTTGCTTCTTCAATGGCACCTTCATTCTCCGTTGTCATTGACTTCAAGATGCCTCTTCTACCTCTTCCAGGAAGCACAGGCCAGGGGATCTGGGTGTGTGAGTGGGAGGAGAGGGCAGAGGTCCCCTGAGGTCATGCATTGTAATCATCATAGAAGGAGAGCCCAGGCCTGCCCTCACGCTCTCCATCATAGGCTGACACCAAGAAGACTCGTCTTGGCACAATCTCACACAGCTGGGGCTGTAGCAACCCTTTCCAACCCCTTTGCTGGTTGCTGGGCCTCATTCTAGCACCTTGTTCTTAGAGCAGATTCTAGCACATCATGGCAGTGGGACCAAGCGTGGTCCCGAGGAAGGGCCAGAGCCTGGTAGAGACTAGGGAAGGGAGGTCTCCTCTAGACTGACTCACATTGCCTTGAGCTTTTCAGTTAAGTTGCTGTAAGCACCTGGGCTGAGGAGGCAGTTTTTGTTCCTTCCTGCGTTATAGCGGGGCCTTGTCTCTTCCTCTGCAGGACACAGATCTGGAGGACGTGGACTGGGGTAGGAAACCACCCTGAGGGTGTTAGTACCTAGTGGTGAAACGGATGAGGTCATTTCTAAGGTGTGTTGCCCGTGGATCTGGGCACAATCATTGGAATTCCTTGGAGCCACTGGGATTCATGGCTTTGTATCCAACTGCATCCAGGCCTGAGGCTGCTGACGTTTGACACCAGGGCCAGTAGAGAGTGCCCTTTTGTATCTTAAGCCAAGAAGTGAGGCCTGGGGGTGGGGGAGGGGGGAAGGGGTGGGAGCCAATACTGAGTGCCTGCAGCATCTACTACTCTGTCTTCACTATTCAGAACTTGTAACTAAAGTATTTAAAGAAACTGATTTTAAATGCAAATTAAAGGGCAGATATTCTCAAACAGGGTTCCTGTATCTGTTCCTTTTGGCTACTGAGGTGGTACAAGTCCCCAGCACTGTTGCACTGAAATTATTGAAAGCCACTCAAGGTCCTGTTGCTTATTTTGTGAAATCAGAAATCCCTTATGTGGAACTTAACACTCATAATTTGACAGAAGGTAGAACCCTGACTGCCAGCCGGGAAAGTGTTGCCAAAAAGAGTCAACCTCTGTAAAAATATTTGAAGAGATTTATTCTGAGCCAAGTGTGAGTGACTGATGGCCTGTGATACAACTCTTAGGAGATCCTGAGAACATGTGTCCAGGGTCGTCTGGCTACAACTTAGTTTTATACATTTAATACATTTTAGGGAGACATAAGATACCAGTCAGTACATGTAAGATGTACAGTGGTTTGGTCTGGAGAGGCAGGACAGCTCAAGACCTGGGGATGTTGTCATAGGCAGAATCAAAGATTTTCTGATTGGCAATTGGTTGAAAGAGTTATTATCTAAAGACCTGGAATCAATAGAAAGGAATGTCTGGGTTACAGTAAGGGGTTGTGGAGACCAAGGTTTTATGCAGATGAAGCCTCCAGCCAGCAGGCTTCAGAGAAAATAGATTGTAAATGCTTCTCATCAGACTTAAGGAGCCTGTTTTAACAGTAATTCCAAAAGGGAGGGGAGTATAATGAGGAATGGCTGGCTCCCTCTTCCCACCATGGCCCGAACTAGCGTTTCAGGTTAACTTTGGAATACCCTTGACTGAGACGAGGGGTCCATACAGATGGTTGGGGGGCTTAGGATGTTTTTTGTTTTGTTTCCATAAAGCATCATAGTCTCTTAGTGCCCCACCTTCCTTGAGCCTGTCAAGCCATACTCTAGAATAGAGAATTTGGGGTCACCATCTTTGTGAAGCCCTTTCAAAACACCAGTAGACTTGCATTTTTTGTGTGGGCTTACATTATTTCAGTGATGGATTTGGGAGGAGTGGGGGCATCTCATTTCATTTGGATTTGATAGCCTTGTGGACCAAGATGCTCAAGGTCAATACACATGAACAGGTGAGGGTTGATGACCTAGGAGCAGTGGTCAGTGAGCGTGAGTGTACAGGGTGGGTAGCTAACCTAGACTGCAGGTGGCAGGTGTGATGGAGTCCAGGCTTAAACACAGCCTTGTCTTTTCCAGAGTCCCTGTCTGCTGAGCTCTTGCAGTGAGGCCATCCCTCTGTGAAGGTCTGTCACAGGAGGGAAGTGGGTCCCAGAGAGTAGAACTAGAGCTCTAGTAGATAGAAAAACAAATTAGGTTGAATGAAAGGAAGAACAGGATTTGGTGTTAGAAGCTTTAATTTATCTATCTGGTAAACCTGCAAAATAGGCATTATTTACCCCATTTTATCGAAAGGAGGTCGACTGTAAGAGCTGGGACCCACAGTATTCTAAACTCAGGGCCCAACAAAGTGTCAGATGTGTAGCTTTGGGTGGATGAAGCACAGAAGTTCCAGAAGGGACTTGTGCTTCATGAAGCGGTGGTTGGAAGTGGTCCAGCCTGACTTAGGGAGAGTAGCAGAAGGAACACTAACTTGCAACTCTGGCTAGGTTGTGTCCTTAACCTTTTTGAGCTTCAGTTTTCTCAGGAGCTACCGTCTGTTGCAAGGGGTCACTGTGAGGATGAAACTGGTATTCCCCCAGGCACCATGAGCCTCTTCCAAGGCTTCTTCATCCTCTTCCCCACAGAACCTGGTCCTCCCCGACCCCACCCCTTCCCCTGAGGCCCACATGGCATGCTGCTCACCACCAGCCCTGCGTCCTACTTCCTGGCAGCCCCAAGCTCGCTCTTGACTTCACTCTGGAGCTTCTACAGGGGAGCCTTCCAACCTGCCCCAATGAGCCGTGGTCATTGCATGGAAGAAGCGAGAACACCGTAGGCCAGAGCAGGCTTTATTGGGGCCGTGTAAACCCCAGGGAGAGGCAGGACGTGGACCACAGAGAGTCATGTACAGGCTGCGCTTTCACTTGTCTTCTCTGTCTCAGTCTCCTGAAGAGCCCGAGGAAGTCAAGTCTCCCCACCATGAGTGAGGGGTCTGGTCTGACAGTTGGGCCTTCAGAGCCAGGCACGTGGACCGTGTCAGAAGCGCCACCTGGTGGTGACTGGGATGCTGGCAGGGAGGAGCTGAGGGCAAAACTCTAGTGGAAATTTCCCAGGTCGGTCCCACGCCCCGGTGACAGGGTGAACCCTGAGAGGAGCCCCCAAACTGGAGGCAATTGTCTTTGAGGTAACCACTCACCCCAGCTTTTCAGAGACCAGAGGCAAGACATTTCTGGCTAAGAGCCATGGATAGTTGTTCCATGCGTTTTGTGGTTTCTTATCCCAAAAGGGCATGAAGTCACAGTAGGCAGTGACATGGTAAACAGCCAGGGCCTGAGAGGGAGTCCTGATGGGCACACCTTGTCTAAACTGCTTTGGCCTGGAAGCTGAATTGCTGTCCTCTTGCACCCCTGGGGCAGGCTGCCCCTCTTCCCCCACACAGGCCCACTGGGGAGGAGGACTCTTGATTCTGGTTTCAGACTTGCTCTAAGGGGCAGACCCATGCATTCCTTCCTCCCCCCATTACTCTTATTTTCTTCCCCTCCCTTTTGCTCTCCCAAGTCTGAAATCACAAGATAGGGGGCATGGTCAGGAATCGGGGGTGGGGGGGTGGGGGTGGGGGTCATCCTGTCCCCTACCTCATCCCTCCCTGCACAACAGATGGCATCCCTGCTTCTGGGCCTCCCCAGCTGCACGAACAGCTTCTGGTGGAAGAGGCCTACTCGCTGTGTGACTAAGAGGACTAGCCAGGACAGTCTGGTTTGGGTCCACTGAGCCAGTGGATCAGTGTCCTGAGATGAGTCTCCAGAGATGTCCTGAGTGGGGCACAACATGGCAGTGAGTGAGTCACAGAACCTCACAGTAGGGTGCAGCAGGTGGTCAACAGCTCAGCGCCAGTGCCACAGAAGGCAACCTTTAACATGGTGAGTCCACATGCTCAACGGGTCTGTTGACTGATGGGTAGATGGTTCAAGCTGCTTAGCAGGGCAAGCCTTGACTGCCCCCACCTCCAGCTTTTCCAGGAGCTGGCCCTTCCTGGGTGGTGGCCATAATTCTGAGGCCCCAGTGGGAGCCCAGCAGGACAGACAGTGCCCTCCATTCCTCGCCCAAAGCCCGCTGATAGAGGGCCAGCCCTGGGTTGGGTGTCAGGCAAGGAGGAGAGGCGATCCAGACCAGGCCAGCTGCTTCCGTCACCCGCTCTGCCCTCTTACCCCACCAGCTTGCTCCATTGGATGGTACTGAAAAAGGGATGGGACTTGAGTTTGCTGACACCACCTTCTCCCATGCCCAGGCGCCGGGTAGGCTCGAACTGCAGCAGCTGCAGAGAGAGGCCCAGTCAGCTGGGCCACTCCAGCTGTGGAGGCATGGGGTGACCTCCAGGGACTCCAACCACTATGGCCTCTAGGGGGCCTGCTCCCTGGCAGCCTGGCCCACAGAACCCCCATTTTACCCTGGGAACATTGGTGGTGGTTGGCCACCAACATATAGAAATGTGTTGCCCCTACTGCCCTCTGCACCCACATCAGACACTGAGCACGAAGCACACGTGGTTCAGACACAGTTCTGTGCCCCTCCCAGCACCTTCCTCAGGCTAGGCAGCTGCTTCCTCTGGCCGGGCTACACCTCACCTCAGTCAGCAGAGAGGCCGCTGGGCGACTGAGCCACTCGGGCAGCTGGAGCTGGGTGTGGGCCTGGATTCCTGAAGGGTGGCTCTGGGACAGTGCCTGGGAGGACACAGGGAAGGGCCTCTGAGGAGGCAACCCCAGGACCGTCTACACTCCAGTGGCAGCCAGGATTTTTTTTCCCCATGTCACAGCCCATGAGGAGGATGACAATAATGATAGTTGCTACAGCCAGACACAGTGCCTGATGGCTAAGCAGTGCCTTTATGTTATCCACGAAAGGCAAGAAACAGGCCCAGAGAGGTAAAGGGACTTGTGCTGAGTTCAGGGTTTGAACCTAGGTCTCTTGGCTCCAAGCTTGCTAGAAGCAACTATCTTGGGTTGCAATCAGGGCAGGCACTCTTGGGAATAGTGATGGAACTTGTCTCCTTATTTTAAAAATCCACACGGGCTGTTCATTTGGCAGCAGGCCATGGCATGCTACCATCGGGGCCAAGGCAGCGGCGTGGCAATAAAAGAAAATAGGACCTCTCCACACCCCAGAAAGGCACAGCTTTGAGGAGCAGAGGGTCTGTCTGGAGGGAAGTATGAGCTTCCAGGAACCCCCAGGAGGAAGGCCAAGAGCTCTGGGCTGGAGAGGTGGGAGGAGACAGGAAAAGAGAGAGCCACTCTGGGGGAAATTGCAGCCAGGACTTTCGGGACCCCGTGCCATGGGACGAAAGCAGGAGGGAGCCTGGATGGACTGGTCAGCTCTGGACTTCAGTTCACGCTGCATCCATTTCGGCTATTTCCTGCTCAAATGCAATTTGGCCTCCCCCTTGCTGCCTACATAACTGGCCTCAGTTGCAGTGTTCAGCTCATGAGGGGAGGACAGAAGGCAGAGCCATCAACTGTTCCCAAGAGTGCCTGCTCTGATTGCAACCTGCAAACACAGGTTCCCGGAGTGTTTGCAGGGGGATCTTTTGAGCTCTTGGCTGACCCAGGCTGGACAGGGCAGCTGCTTGCCTGGGTGAAAGAGCCCCTCTCTCCCATCCTCCAGCTAAGGTCTGGGGGTGACAGCCAACGAGGTCATGGGTGGGAGGAGTGAACAGCGGGCTCAGGATGATTGAACAGCCTTCCAGGGAAGAAGGGCTGTGTCACATTCCGCGCTTCCTCCAAATCTGACACCACCTGGGCCCAGGCTCTCTGGCAGAAACCTTCCCTGACCATCCCACTCTACTCGTATTCATAGAAGTTGACAGTCTCCTTAGCTATAGCCAACTAATGTGTTGGGAGTGCTAAGTGTGTCCCTGGCTTCGGGGGCAGTTGTGCTGGTAGGACAGCCAGGCAGTCTCTGCCCAGACTGGCTGGATGGACTAAGCCTGGCCCATCCCACACTCAGTGGCACCCACCAGGGCACTACACCCAGCCCAGCCACTCACCATTCCCGTCAGCAGTTCATACAGTAGAGACCCAAAGCTCCACCAGTCACAGGCTTCCGTCAGCTCGGAAATCCCACCCACCTCTGTGGGAACAAGAACACAGGTGTCCCAGCCTCACCTAAGAGGGCCTCTTCCATTCTCCTCAGCCTACCCAGACACCACCCACCCGCTCTGTCATTCTCAGACTCTGGGCACAACCCACACAAAGGCACCCAGGTGCTAAGGCCCACCCTGGCCTCCCCCCTTCTTGCCTGGGGCGCTGTAGAGATTGTCCACGGCCTCCCCGCAGCACTGGGGCTCCACCTCTGACCACTGGCCAAAATATGTGAGCCGGATGTGACCTCCAGTGTGTGGGAGGAAAAAGGAGGGGACAGATTGAGGACAGCTGATACAGGGGAGGGGGTTGCAGGGCTTCCCCCAACAGTCATGCGGTAGGAGCCAATGGCCTTGCTGGGCAGAAACTCGGCAGGGGCACAGCACCCTCCACAGAGGCACAGCACTCTGAGGCCCACAGAGCCCACAGGGTACTCCCAGGAGCCTCGGCCAACAGACTCCAGCCTAGGCCCCCTGAAAGGCTGGCTGGGGCCAGGGAGGAGCAGACAACCTTGGAGGTCCCCTCGACTTTGGGGATCTCTCGTCCTCTGCCTGGACGCTTTGGGGGCCACCCCACTGAGGGGTGAGGAGGGCACCTACCTGCCTGGTCCAGGAGCAGGTTCCCGGGGTGGAGGTCCCGGCACAGCACCCCCTGCTCGTGCAGCGCCTCCAGCGCTACCAGCATCTCTGCCGCCCACTGCTTCACCTGCTCCTCTCTCACACTCCAGGTGGCCCTGCCACAGCCCCGGCCGGCCCCATCTGCTGACAGGCAGCTCTGATCCATGCCTCGGCCACAGCCCCCTAGCACCGGGCCGGCCCCCTCAGGAACCCAAGTGAGCCCCCGAGGGGGCCCAGCGTCTGAGTTCTGGCCAGCCCTCCTAGCTTGAAGGTGCAGGTGGCCACCTGGGGCCTTTGGAAGGTCCGAGGAGCCAGAGGTGCTGGTCCTGGCTGTGGGTTCACCTTCAGCCTCCCTCTGGGGTCTGGTGGATGGGGCCTCCCCAGCTAGGAGAAGGTTCGGAGAAGTCCTAGGAGGCTCCAGGGCGATTCTGTCCTGGCCAGGGGCATGGCCTGAGGGAAGCCTCGCTGGGGTCAGGAGGTTGAGGTGGGGGTTGAGCTGAGCCTTCATCCTCTCCTGGGTAGAGCCAGAGCTGAGCCCAGAATGTCGGGAGTGCGCCTGGGAGAGCAGGTGGGACCAGAGAGTGCCTCCTGGGCCATGCAGAGGGAGCGGTGAGCGTGGGGACAGGGAGAAAAAGAGTATGGATGCCAGGGCCGGCTCCCACTCCTGCCTCCCTTCTGTCTTGGGCGCAGACTTTCCGCCTCTGGGTGTCCTGGCCTAGTTCAGCCCCTCACCTCTGCTCCCTCCCACCCCTCAGCTTAGAATGCCCTCTGCCCTCCTCTTGACCCAACTAAAGTGGGCCCAGCCTTACAAACTGGCACACCACCGAGAGATGTCCAGCACTATCAGTGTCTGTGGTTTGGGTGGTGGGTTCACTAGTGTGAACACTGTTTTTAGGGAGACCGATATAAAGAAATTTAAAGAAAAGTCAGGCACACACTTATGATGACTATATGTCATGACCCCAGATGTGCACCTCACTTTAAAAAGTCATCAATACAACCATCAGTATCTGCTACATGGCCCAGTTCCTGTCCTCATAACTTCAGTCACCACCACCCTGTCTGGCCACTCCCAAGGGATCGGCACAACCCGGAAAAATGAAAAGAGCCAACGCTGGAGGAAACAGCGACAGAGGAGACAGCTGTGATTCTCACGCCCACCCACGATGTGGACATCCACCCCAGGATGTCCCCTGCCCCCTTGGTACCACACAGGGGCCCACAACAGCCTGACTGGCCTCCAGAAAGGCCGGGTCCCCTGGTCTGTGCTGTACATCTGGTGCAAGCTCCGCCCCTCCCCAGGGCTCAGCTTTTTTTTTTTTTTTTTTTGAGGCGGAGTCTTGCTCTGCTGCCCAGGCTAGAGTGCAGTGGCGTGATCTTGGCTCACTGCAACCTCCACCTCCCGGGTTCAAGCCATTCTCCTGCCTCCACCTCCCAAGTAGCTGGGATTACAGGCACGTGCAAGCACACCTGGCTAGTTTTTGTATTTTTAGTAGAGACAGGGTTTCACTATGTTGGCCAGGCTGGTCTTGAACTCCTGACCTCAGTTGATCCGCCTGCCTCGGCCTCCCAAAGTGCTGGGATTACAGGCGTGAGCCACCACGCCCTGCCAGGGCTCCGCATTTTAAGGGTTGACGACATACCCCAAAGGCCTGGGGAGCTGACAGGGGGCCCCAGGCCTGCTCACCTTGCACATGCTCCAGGTGCAGGAAGATGGAGTCCTCGCTCACAAAGTACCTGAGCAGCTTCGTCATGTAGGGGACTCCGTGTGGGATGATGGTCAGCCGCTCCCTGCTCACCATGTGGCACCTGGGTAGGCTCTGGGAGCAGCAGGGCAGGCAGATCAGCCGGGGACAGGCCAGAGACTGCTGCTGTTAGGGGACCTCCTAGCCCTGGCTTCAGGGGCACCCGAATGAGGGTGGAGCAACTGCCTCCCTCAGTTCCTGACCTGTCCTTACCCCCACTGCCCCTGTAGAATCTGGGTCCTCCACCCTCTAGCCAAAGAGGGGGCAGTGTGTGTGCATGTGTGTTTGTGTGTATGTGTATGTGTATGTGTATGTGTGTGTGTGCATGCATGTGTGTCCATCTGGAAAGTGGGGCATGTTCAGGCAGAACAACCAGCTTTTGTGGGAGGGAGTGCAGGCTTCAAATGCAGGTTCTGGGTAGGAGTTTCCAAGAGCCCTGAGAAAGATCCAAGGGGAATGCAGAGTGGCAGGGGCAGGGTGGCACCTGCCTTCACCACAAAGGTCCCTCCGGTTGCCGGGTCCTGGACCAGCTGCACCTGCCAAAGTCCAAGAGGCACTGGTTAAGGCAGGTACTAGCTCCTGGGGCTCCGTGACCCCAGCCTGACCCCCTCCCAGGTTCCTCCACTGAGGCTGACTCACTCCAGTGGCAGGGCAGGGAGGGCGGGCTTTGGTGGCACTCCTGAAGCAGACATCGATCCTATCCTGCTCACCCACCCCTGCTAGACCTGTGGTCTCAGATGCTGCCTCCTCCAGGAAGCCTTCCCAAGATTACAGGGGCTGGGGTCCCTAATCTGCCTCCAATGCTCTCTTAGTTCACCCTTAGGAGAGCCTCTTCACACTGTCTAATCTGTCTCCCACTGGACTGTGAGCTCAGTATTCCCGGAGCCCTGCACAGTGCAGGGATGTAGTAGGTGCTAGACACATGCACTGTGAGCAGCCCGGGCCTTGGCTCACTGTGTGCGTGGTGGGCATGCGAGCAGAATGCCCTGCCCTCTCCCTGCCCACGCTGGGCCAGGCCTCATGCCACCTGACGGGAGGGCTGAGAAGCCCTGTTCCACCTGGACCCCAGAGATCAGCTGAGAAGCCCTGTTCCACCTGGACCCCAGAGATCAACTGAGAAGCCCTGTTCCAACTGGACCTCCAGAGATCAACCCCTCACCCAAGGCCTTAGCTAGAGCCCCAACATCCTGCAGGGTCTGAGGTGTCATGGCTGGAAGGGACCTCAGAGCCAGTCACTTCCTCTGATCTCTTGTTTTACAACTGAGGAAGCCGCAGCTCTGAGGTGACTCCAGGTCTCCCCAGCGCAGCCATGTTGTGTGGGCTTGGCACGCTGCGTTCAGGCCTTTTTCCCACTCCACTCCACCCCCTTCATTTACACACACCCCCATGACACAAGTTTATCTATGTGAAAAACCTGCACATGTACTCCTGACTGCAAATAAAAATTTAAAATAAATAAGTAAAGTCCGCTTGAGAGGCCGTCTTTGGAGAGCAGCCTCTCCTTCTTGTGTTGGTTTCCATTAGAGGCAGACGCTGTCAATCGCAAGGTCAGGGCCATGTTTGGAGTTGGGCCCTTGACTCATCTGCATGGTGGGCAGGGGCGGGCCCCAGCATAGGAGCGGGCACATGGGTACGTCGAGGGCGGGAAGGCAGAGGATTCAGCCCAGGTGAGGGCATGTGGAGGCAAGGCCAGCACCCTGGGGTTGTGACTCCTTGGCTGTTGGCCTGCCCTGCGGACATTCCCCAGGGAGGCTGTGGCCAGCCATGGTCGGGGTGGGAACTGGGCCCTGAGGCCAGGCTGCTGGGCAGTGAGGAAGGCCACAGCTTGGGATCAGGGTAGGGGAAGGGGCACTGGGCTTCGATCCTGGGCAAATTGAATTGATTTTCTCATCTACCAACCAGGAATTCCAAATGCCTACCTTCCCTACATCTCTGGATTGTTGAAGCCATTCTGAAAGCCCTTGGTGAGGGCCAGGTGTGGTGGCTTATGCCTGTAATCCCTGTAATTTGGGAGGCCAAGGCGGGTGGATCACCTGAGGTCAGGAGTTCAAGACCAGCCTGGCCAACATGGTGAAACCTCGTCTCTACTAAAAATACAAAAATTAGCTGGGCATAGTGGTGCCCGCCTGTAATCCCAGCTACCTGGGAAGCTGAAGTAGGATAATCACTTGAACTCAGGAGGCAGAGTTGCAGTGAGCCTAGATCAAGCCACTGCACTCTAGTCTGGGCAACAGAGACAGACTCCATCTCAAAAACAAAACAAAACAACAAAAAACAAAAAACCAAGAAAGCCCTTGGTGAGTGGAAAGGCTGTGAGAATGTCAGTGATCACATCTGCCAAGTCACATGGCCTCTCTGAACCTTGCTCTTTTTAAGTACAAAACGGGGTCATAGCAGCACTTCCTTCAGGGGGTCCTGAAGAGGATTCTGTTAAAGCAGGCAATTCAGGCAGAGCAGCAGCCTGCACCTGCCGCAGAACACACCCTTGATAACCTGTCGTGATTATTACCAGTGTCATCCGAGGGGAAGCCCACCCTGGCTGTAAAGTGGTTACTCTGTGCTAAGCACTTTACATAGGTTGTTTAATTTTATCCCCACAATCCTGCCAAAATTCAGGCCTGAGCCTCAGAGAGGTTATGTTGCCTACTGTCCCACTGCTAAAAAGTGGTCAAGTCAGGACCTGAACCCAGACAGGCTGATCCCGGAGCCCTGCAGACTTTACTGGAACTGGGGGCACAACCAGGTGACCCTGGCAATGGCCTTCCCTCCTGAGCCTGTTTCTCCATCATCAGTGAAAGGAAGGCAGTGGACTAGATGAGAGCGCCCAGGACCCTTTTCTCAGCAGGAGCGAGGTGTCCTCTCCAACCACCAGAGGTCTCTCCTCCAACAGCCAGAGACCGAGTCCAGCCTGGGCTTGGCTCCCTGACCAAACTTGTGCAATGTTAGAAAAAGCAAGGAAGAAAACTCTGGAGTCATTTAGGAGAACAGAGTTTCCCACAAATCCTGACACCCCAGATAATTCCCCACTGTCCCTTGCCAAGTGGGATTCCCCACCACCTGGTCCTGGGCAAGGGCCTGTAACTGACAGAGTCCAAAAAAACTAGCGAAGGAGGGAAGGCTGAGGAGGCCAGAAATAAACCTTGATCCATACACTGAAAGATTTCTGTTAAAAACATATTAAAACCAACCTCAGTATTCAGAAATAATTAGACTAAAACATTAACAGTGATTATCTTGGAGTTCGGCAGGATTCAGGGGATTTTCTTTTTCTTCTCCTTTTTCTTTCATTATATTTCAAAAGGGCAGCAAAGCAGCAGGCATTTTCCCATTCATCCAACCAAACAAGAAACTCCTTTTACTCAGTGGTTTGGAGGATGGAGGACTGTCTAGTGCCTTGACTTCTTTGTTTATTATTTATTTTTTTGAGACGGAGTTTCA